>NC_000023.11:36197121-36347478 GCF_000001405.40 Homo sapiens | reverse complement strand
TGCATGTGTCTTTATCATAGAAGGATTTATAATCCTTTGCGTATATACCCAGTAATGGGATTGCTGGGTCAAATGGTATTTCTAGTTCTAGATCCTTGAGGAATCTTCACACTGTCGTCCACAAAGGTTGAGCTAATTTATACTCCCAACAGTGTAAAAGTGTTGCCATTTTTCCACAACCTCTCCAGCATCTGTTGTTTCCTGACTTTTTAATGATTGCCATTCTAACTGGTGTGAGATGGTATCTCATTGTGGTTTTGATTTGCATTTCTCTGATGACCAGTGATGATGAGCATTTTTTGTATGTCTGTTGGCTGCATAAATGTCTTCTTTTGAGAAGTGTCTGTTCATATCCTTTGCCCAGTTTTTGATGAGGTGGTTTGTTTTTTTCTTATAAATTTGAGTTCTTTGTAGATTCTGGATATTAGCCCTTTGTCAGATGGATAGATTGCAAACATTTTCTCCCATTCTGCAGGTTGCCTGTTCACTCTGATGATAGTTTCTTTTGCTGTACAGAAGCTCTTTAGTTTAATTACATCCCATTTGTCAATTTTGGCTTTTGTTGCCATTGCTTTTGGTGTTTTAGGCATGAAGTCTTTGCCCATGCCTGTGTCCTGAATGGTATTGCCCAGGTTTTCTTCTAGGATTTTTATGGTCCTAGGTCTTACGTCTAAGTCTTTTTAAAAGACACATTTTCCTGAAGTAAGAAGTTTCTCCTGAAGATGCCACTAGAACTGAGGAAATGTTGAAAGTGATGGCTGAGGTTTCCCAGAGTGATAAAAGAGCCACAAAACCCATGAGTCTTTTCATATCTTAACACATTTTGCAGAGGATAAAGTACAGCAATTTTTGATTCTTTATTTTCTCGTATATGTTTCTCTAGACTATAACAGGTGCAAGTCTCTGCTTAGAGCCCCCAAATTGCTGCCACTAAAAGCTGTTAATTTATTTAGCTGATCCATGAGGAAAGCCAAAGCTTATCTGTGAAAGAAAGGGGCATCTGCTCCTAGTTGTGAAAACCATAAGACAGAAACACTGACAACATTTTCTTGTGGTCCAATGGATTAGAATTTTTCAACATTTACTATGCATGAGTCACCTGAGAGACCTGATAGACATGGAACCTGCAGAGCCTCATTCCAAGAGATTCTGATTTATTTAGGCTGAGCTAAGGCCCAGGAAGCTGCATGATTAAGTAGCACCTTATAGGATCCAAAGGCAGGTGGTCATGAGAATGTATTTAAAAAAAAACACACACACACACACAGAAACAAACAAACAAACAAACAAAAAACAAATTACCTCTTGGACAAATTTCCAGAGGTTTGAAGAATGTTAAGCTTCAGGGCATTTGTATCAGTGAGGGTTTCCAAGCCTATGAATGTCTACATTTAAAGTAACACTGCTTTACAAGATAATAGAGGATTATTGACTACACTCATTTTTTATTCTGTTGTAAGACTGATGATAATCAAAGTCATTTTTTCTCAAATAAAATTATTTTATTAAACTATTTAAAACATCACAAATGGAAATTAAAAATGGCCCCTTTGCAAAACTTTCCAACTCAAAATTCTTGTAAATTTTCAAATTTTAAATGTTATTCCTTGAGGAAATTAAAACATTCTAAGGTCTAGTAACATTGTTAATAATAATCAATAATTAATATAATTAACAGTTAATATTTGTTGAGTATTGACTATATTCAGGCTCCGTGCTAAGTATTTTTATACAACAATTTATTTAATTCTCAGAAAACCAGCATAAATTAAATGCTTTTACGTTTCTCATTTTAGAAATGAAAACATTGACACAATTTAGTTAAATAACTTGCCCAAAGTCCCCTTGAAAGATTATGTTGTTTACTAAGATAACTAAACCAGGGGTCCCCAACCCCCAGGCGGTGGACCAGTAAGAGTCTGTGGCCTGTTAGGAACTGGGTTGCACAGCAGGAGGTGAGCAGCAGGTGGGTGAGCATTACCACCTGAGCTCTGCCTCCTGTTAGATCAGTGGCTGCATTAGATTCTCATAAGCGAGACCTGTTGTGAACTGCACATGTGAGGGATCTAGGTTGCAGGCTGCTTATGAGAATCTAACTAATGCCTGATGATCTGAGGCAGAACAGTCTCATGCCAAAAATCTCCCCCGACCCTGTACCGCATCTCTGGAAAAATTGCCTTTCATGAAACCGATCCCTGGTGCCACAGAGACTGGGGACTGCTGATCTAAACAAACTCAATTATCTTCAACTTTGTTTTTATGAATTCTATATTTTCATGAATCATTGTTGTACGAAATAGATAAAGTTAATTAATATAAACACACTTCCTAAAAAAAAGTTATACATTATGAAGGTCATTACATTTTGTATACACAGAGATATTTGCAAGAACTTGTAAAATATATTTGAACCCAACCTACTCCTTTGCTTTTGACTAATATTTTTATTGTGGTTCTCAATTATTCTTAGTACAATAACATAGATTTTCTATTGTGACTTTAAATCTATAAACCTCCCTTCAAGGTAATGAAAGAGTACGCTAGATGACTATATATTTCACAGGTCATAAGTGCAAATGTTATTAAGAGTATAGTTTATGGAGATTTCATTATGTTTAATTTCAGGGAAACTATAGATTAATTCATTTTAAAATATGTTCAGATAAAAACAGCAAAGGCTAACTCAAATAAACCATGCATGCATCCTCAAGGAGATAAAGTTTAGCAATTATAACTTAGCCTTACAAGATTACATTATTACTAAAAAAAATATATGACCACTAAAAATAAACCTAGGCTTTTAGATAGTGAAGATAGTGTAAGAAGTCAAGACAGATAAAAAAAGAGTAGCTCACTACTTATACCATGATTTCTTTTAACGTTTAAATTGAAAGTATAGAAAGATGATGTCATGACAAACATGCCCATTTTATTGAAAATCTAGTACCCCATTTGTGGTTGTAACTTTTTTACCAAGCCTACAAGTAGAACTGAAGTTCATTATTGAATTCACCACAGGTTTCTTTAGCTATTATTATACCTTTGGATGGATAAGAACCACTCTGTAATGCTGTTAACTTCCAAGAAATCACTGAAAATTAACATTGAAAAGAACTTTGAGAGTGTATCAAGTTCATTTTTCATCTCACAAATTAGTTTTTTTTTTTTTGAACTGAACTTCAGTTTTGCTATTCTGCAACTCTTAGTTCCTTTTTTTTTTTCTTTCTCTCTTTTTTTTTCTTTTTTTTATTATACTTTAAGTTTTAGGGTACATGTGCACATTGTGCAGGTTAGTTACATATGTATACATGTGCCATGCTGGTGCGCTGCACCCACTAACTTGTCATCTAGCCTTAGGTGTATCTCCCAATGCTATCCCTCCCCACTCCCCCCACCCCACTTATTGCGGCATTATTCACAATAGCAAAGACTTGGAACCAACCCAAATGTCCAACAATGATAGACTGGATTAAGAAAATGTGGCACATATACACCATGGAATACTATGCAGCCATAAAAAATGATGAGTTCATGTCCTTTGTAGGGACATGGATGAAATTGGAAATCATCATTCTCAGTAAACTATCGCAAGAACAAAAAACCAAACACTGCATATTCTCACTCATAGGTGGGAATTGAACAATGAGATCACATGGACACATGAAGGGGAATATCACACTCTGGGGACAAATTAGTTTTATTTTCTATGGTTTTCCCATTGCCCTTCACAATACTTTGACTATGGACAGGAAAGCTGTTCTTCCTTCTAATTAAAAATCTATCATTGATGGGCATTTGGGTTGGTTCCAAGTTTTTGCTACTGTAAATAGTGCTGCAATAAACATATGTGTGCATGTGTCTTTAGAGTAGAATGATTTATAATCATTTGGGTATATACCAAGTAATGGGATTGCTAGGTCAAATGGTATTTCTGGTTCTAGATCCTTGAGGAATCACCACATTCTTCCACAATGGTTGAACTAATTTACACTCCCACCAACAGTGTAAAAGTGTTCCTATTTCTCCACATCCTCGCCAGCATCTGTTGTTTCCTGACTTTTTAATGATCGCCATTCTAACTGGCATAAGATGGTATCTCATGTGGTATTGATTTGCATTTTTCTAATGACCAGTGATGATGAACTTTTTTTTCACATGATTGTTGGCTGCATAAATGTCTTCTTTTGAGAAGTGTCTGTTCATATCCTTCACCCACTTTTTGATGGAGTTTCTTTTTTCTTGTAAACTTATTTAAGTTCCTTGTAGATTCTGGATATTAGACCTTTGTTGGATAGAATACTGACCATGGAATACTATGCAGCCATAAAAAAGAATGAGTTCATGTCTTTTGCAGGGACGTGGATGAAGCTGGAAACCATTATTCTAAGCAAACTAACACAGGAACAGAAAGCCAAACACTGCATCTTCTCCCTCATAAGTGGGAGTTGAACAATGAGAACATATGGACACAGGGAGGAGAACATCACACACCAGGGCCTGTCAGGGGGTGGGGGAAAAGGAGAGGGAGATCATTAGGACAAATATCTAATGCATGTGGGGCTTAAAACCTAGATGACAGTTGATAGGTGCAGCAAACCACCACATCACGCCACATGTATACCTATGTAACAAACCTGCACGTTCAGCACATGTATCCCAGAACTTAAATTTAAAAAAAGAAACACCATGAATTACATATCAACAACAAAAAAATCTACCCATGTTTTCTTCTAATACTTGTATGTTTTCATTTTTATAGTTAAATATTTGATCCATCTGTAATTTACACATGTATGAAGTGAAGAATTTATCTAATGTTATTGATGTTTTAATATGGAACTAATTATCAAAAAAACACACTTATTTAAAAGAGTATGAATTTGAAATGCTAGCTTCATAGCATTTCCATATATATTTGGGTTTATTTCAGGATTTCCTAGAAGTTTGCTTTGGTCTTTCTGTCACTTCATGTGTAAGTATTACCTTGTGTCAATTACAGATGCTCTATTTTCTAGTAAGACTAACTGCTTTCTTTTCCAGCTCATTTTTAAAAATAATATTTAAAACTTGCAATGATCGGTTAGCTCCAGGGAGCAGACTGGCGTGGGGGAACAAACGGTATTTTAAATGCCATCACCCTACATTTATACATCAGTTTAGGGATATTTGAAATTTTTGTTCATCCATACCTACCCAAGAACAAAAACATACCATTTATTTTTCTTATTTGAGTGCCAACCTCATTATATAAAGTGTTTCTAGGTTCTTGGAATAGGTTTTCAGCTAGTCTTAGTTTTCAGTGTTACTAGTAGTTAAACACATCTTCATATGTGTTTACCAGGAAGCTGGAAGTAATTACATCAGTTGTTTGTATCTTCTGACTGGGAAATCTAGCTAGTATAATGATTATATTTATTAGATTAAGTAACCTAATAAAACATATTATAAACTCAAAATGTTTGAGCTTTTTTCTTTCTTTTTTTATCCATTTCCATACAGTCACTATATAATTTAACTACTGATAGATTTATTATTTTCTGTTACAGTCATCATTCTTAAAGTTCAACTCTACTAAGCATCTCGGGAAAATATGCATATTTAATTTACATAATTTATTTTACACATGTATATATATTTTAAAAGAGTTATACATTATTTTTTGAATTTTAGAAACCCTGATAATAAATCATGTTTAGTATCTCAGGAATACTAAAAATAATGACATTATTATTATTATTATTTGTGCTTTGCTTTTAAAATCTACTATAGCCCAATTACAATTAGCATTCAAATTTTATTTGGTGTATATTTAAAACTGCTATTTTGATTGTTCTTTTGATTAAAGGTGTTAGAAATTTTTACTCTTTGATCTCCTATTTGAAATGTGGAAATTGTACAGTGTTTTAATAGCTATGAGGTCTTCTGTCTTTCAAGAAAATTTTCTCAAGATAGTAAAGTGAACATAACCCTAATTTTAGTAATAAAATTATTTCAACTTGGGCAATTCATTTTTCATCACTTTAGTTGTATTACATTTCTGCTCCCGTTTTTTAATAAACTGTGCACAATTTCTAATAATTACTGTGGCATTAGAAATGGCCCATGTCAGATAATCCAAGAGACACTAAGAAATATTCTAGCACCGGCCAGGCGCGGTGGCTCACGCCTGTAATCCCAGCTCTTTGGGAGGCCGAGGCGGGCAGATCACAAGGTCAGGATATCGAGACCATCCTGGCCAACATGGGGAAACGCTGTCTCTACTAAAAATACAAAAAATTATCTGGGTGTGGTGGTGCACGCCTGTAGTCCCAGCTACTCGGGAAGCTGAGGCAGGAGAATCGCTTGAACCTGGGAAGCAGAAGTTGCAGTGAGCCGAGATCGCACCACTGCACTCCAGCCTGGTGACAGGACGAGACTTTGCCTCAAAAAAAAAAAAAAAAAGAAAAGAAAAGAAATATACTAGCACCATAAGTAGTACTATTATTTTTGCTTTAAATACAAATTCAAGTTTTTTATTTTTAATTAAGAATACTTGTTTTTATTTTTGAAACATAAAGTGATCAAGAATGTGACTTTTCATTAACCATTTTCAAACATAAAATTGATGTATTTTTCCATTTGAATACTTTGTGTTTCCAGTAGTTAATTTTTTTAAATAAAAATAGAACATAATTACTCTATTGGTGGTTTGAAGGAGAGTCGCATCCTGTAATTTGTTCTTCCTAGATGTTAGGGGCTGAATTGTGCCCCCAACATAAAAATTCATATGTTGAAACCTTATCCCCAGTACCTCTTAATGTGATTGTATTTGGAGGTTAGGCCTTTAAAGAGTTGATTAAGTGAAAATTAGGTTATTAGTGTGGGCTCTAATCCAATATTACTGGTGACCTTATAAGAAGATATAATTTGAACACAGAGAGACACTGGGGGCAAATGCACTGAGAAAAGACCACATGAAGACACAGCTTGCCCAGGAAAGAGGCCTCAGAAGAAATCAAACCTGCTGACACTTTGACATTGGACTCGTAGCCTCTAGAACTGTGAGAAAGTAAATTTCATTTAAGTCACTCAGTCTGCAGCATTTTGTTATGGCAGCCCTAGCAAACTAATTCATGAGACTATCTTTTCTTTTTATATATTATCCCTGAGTCTGTGGCATGGCTGTCATTAAATTTCCTTACAGAGATTCTAACTCCTTGCTGTCAAAACATAGAGCAGATAGAAAAACATCATCTGACTGCCATTTGGTTGCTCTGATGATGGAAAAGCTAGGGATGAATCATTCTCCCTTTCCTACCTATACTCCCTTGACTGAATGGGAGTATCTACTGAATAGTGAGAAGGGCATTTAAGGGATTACATTTTTCTCCTAAAGAATTAGAAACTGTTGCTGTTTTACCTTGTTAACCTTTCGTAGAGCTAGCTAATGTTTGAGATTTAATAGAAGGTTATCCGAAGAAGACACTGTCAAAGGAAATAGTATAGAAAAAGCAAGCATAAGCAGAAGGTCACATTACTCATGCATGCAACTGGGGAATAAACACAAATCCATGCTTCTTAGAAAATGTTCAGTTTGAGACATGACATAATGCTTTTTAAGTAGGTTTTGGGGTTATTCAGTGCAAATATGATTGCTAAGGTAAACTTTACAACATGGGCTAAGTACCTGTAAGTTAAAGTTTTATGTTTTCTTTTTAAGAATATATTAGCACAAATAACAAAATTATACTTAAAGCAAAAATTGCTTTTACTGTGAACACTGTGGCTCAAAATGAGTGAATAATCCATTATCAGAGACTGTTGATAGGATGCACAATGAAGGAGAAAGTTTCCTGACATTGAGGACTGTCAAGCACACGTTGCATAACCACTGACATGTATAACAGGGAAGGGTTTCTGGCTTTACACATGTGTTTAGAATCTCTTAATGCTTCTTCCATCCGTATTACTCCATGATAACATTTTTCTTTATATGTTGAAAAAACACCTAAGATTTAAAACATTGTTAAGAAACTGTATATTTTTCTAGGAAAGTGGCTGGTTTTAATTTTAATTAAATTACCCACAGATAATTTTAAGATAAAATAATGTCTCCTACTACTACTACTATAACTAACATACCTTATTGATCAATCATCATGTCTTCCTCTTCCTCTGCACTATACTAAGAGGAGTTTAATTCTGTGCTCAATTACTCACTATTTCTGGGAAACTAGGCAAGTTATTTATAAGTGAGATTTTCTTCATATAAAAAAGGAAGCTAATATAATATACACACCAAGGTTTTGTTATGGAAAAGGTACAACCCCAGACCTGTCTAGATAATTCCATTTTGTGCAATATGCTTTTTATTCTACATTATTTTATTCTTCTGTTTAATCATTTAGAAAATACTTATGTGTTGTGCATTATAATAAGCACTGAGGATAAAATATTAAAGAAAACACATCTCCTGTTTTCTTGAGTCAGAGATTCCAGAATGTGTCGGCAAGTGAGAGTAGACATTAACAAATAAATAAAATGTATAGCACTTATGGTGTTACGTAAAACAGTTAAAGGTTAGAGAGTGAAATCAATATTAATACAGGGTGTTCCAGGAAGGTCTCTGTGATAAGGTGTCACTTGAGCAGAGCACCTAAAGAAATTTGAGAAGCCTCATAGATATCTGTAGGGGGAATATTGAGATAGCTGGTGGACATATGAGTCTGGATTTAAAGGAGAGGTTGAGGCTGAGGCTATCAATTTAGAACTTGACATTTTATGTGTGAATAAATGAGATCCCATTAGAAATGAATGTGGATAGAAATGAAAAGAGAAGATAGCCTCTAGGAAGTTAGGGGGGCAGGAACAGCAAAGGAGAATGAGCAGGGCTCACTAAAGAAACAGAAGAAGAATAAAGGGAGAATTGATTCCTGGGGATCAACTGTTTCCAAAACAGTGAGAGATCAAGTGCTTCAAGCAGTGCTCATGGATTGAGCAAGATGAGAACTGCATATGATGGATAATTAGATCTGGCAATGTTAGGTTATTAGTTAATTAAAAGAGCTGTATCAGAGAGTAAAAGAGAATGATAGTGTATAAAACTGGATTAGCTTGGGTGAGATAATGATATAAGAAGTGAGGGCAGTAAATACAGTCAGGCTTTCAAATAGTTTTGCTGTCAAGGAGGATCAGAGAAATGGGATGACAGCTGGTAGGGTCAGGGGATAAAGAGCCGTGTGACTTTTAAACTGAGAGCTATTGTAACATGGGTATGCTGATAAGAATAATCCATTAAAAATGTATTATGGAAGGCTGGGCACGGTGGCTCACGCCTGTAATCCCAGCACTTTGGGAGGCCGATGTGGGCGGATCACAAGGTCAGGAGATCGAGACCATCCTGGCTAACACGGTGAAACCCCGTCTCTACTAGAAATACAAAAAAAAAAAAAAAAAAAAAAAAATAGCCAGGCGTAGTGGCGGGCGCCTGTAGTCCCAGCTACTCGGGAGGCTGCGGCAGGAGAATGGCGTGAACCCCAGGAGGCGGAGCTTGCAGTGAGCCGAGATCGCGCCACACCGCACTCCAGCCTGGGCGACAGAGCGAGACTCCATCTCAGGAAAAAAAAAAAAAAAAAAAAAAAAAGGATTATGGAAAACAGAGGAGAAAATTGGACAGCTTCACATGATTGAGTAGGTATGGGATTCAGTAAACTGGTGGAGGACTGGCCAATATGAGCACAGAGTCCTTTTCTGATGTAATGTGAGGGAAGGCAAGGCACATGGATGCAAATAAAATTAAGCTAATCTATTAATATGTAATGACAGAAACAGATAATTTGCCTCTGTTTTGCCTCTATATTCTTAATAAAATAGGACGAATATCAGTGAGAAAAGGGGCAGAAGTGTTACATGTCACTAGTAGTCTTCAGGTTTCAATTCACTGTAGGAAATTTGACTATAGCAAATTTTAATAAAGGAAAATGATGTCCCATCACAAGTTCATCACTCACACACATTTTACCTATTTCTCTACCTCCCTTTCTCTCTACCATCTATATATATCCACCTACTAATCTACCTCTTGTAAAGGCCTGGTATTCATAACTCCTAAGCAGGTATTAGTCCTCTTTTTGTTATAATATTTACCTGTATTTCTGAATTGAAGAAAACTGCATAAAATGACAGAAAAATGACACTGTGCTTTGTGTTCCATTTAATAAAACCAGACACTTACAAGTGATTTTAATAGATGCAGTTTCTGCTCTCTTCACAGAAATATTCTGGTGGTATAAATAGGTCTACATTTCAGGTTATGGAGATTTTTTTGAAGGGCAAGCTCCCAGACATCTTTGCATAATGAGAGTTACGGCCTTTTGTTTTTCAATAAAATCAGCAGCTTCACTGACTAGCTCGGAAACTCACATGCTTTAGGCTATAAATCATAATTACAAATCTATATAATTGAAACCTGAGCTAAGTTGGGTGGAAAATTGAATATTTGACGTAATAGGGAAGAAGGTTTATTTTAAAATGTGAAACCATGCTTAGCTGCCAATGTAATTTGATAAACTTCCATGACAATTATCTGGAGATCTGGGCATGCTTTATGTAAAGCAGCAGTAAACATCATCATATGTCACTAAACACTGGGTCCTTGAAGACCTTTTCCAATTTATAAATAGTTGCCTTTTATTTCAAAAACATATTATTTTTCAAATAATATTTTTCTTATTTATTGTCAAACTAAATTATACATGTCAACTAAAATCAACATGACACGAGTCACAGCAATTATATCTCCTAAGGAAAGAAAACATAAATGTTTCTTTTCTAAATGCTGATGCTAGAACTCTGACAGTTGAGCTCTGGTTATTAGCAATCATATAAATATAAATGATGAATATTTTATCTTTTAAAAATTAGATATGTTATAATTTTTATTGTTATGGCTCTTTCAAATTTGGTCTTGAGATCTGTCTATTGCTAGTGGACATTAGCCAAAATAGTCAGTCTAGGAGAGCCCTGATGGGTGACGAGTTAGATTCAGGTGTATGTGTCAGGTGAGACACAATGAGGAGGTGAAACCAAATGCAAGGAACAGAAGAAATTTATTATTCACAGGTCCCAGAGAAGTTAGGCTTGAAGGCAGAGGACCAATGGGAAGTTCCTTGGAGCTCAACCAGCTGGGGGAGAATGTGAGTGTGTGTGTGTGTGTGTGTGTGTGTGTGTGTGTGTGTGTGTGTGTGTGTGTGTGTCTGTGTGTCTGTGACAGAGAGAGAGAGAGACAGAGAGACAGACAGACAGACAGACAGAGAGAATGTGTTGGGTTTAGGTTTTGGGTCAGTGGAGATGAGAAACAAGTGGGTTATAATAGCAAACAAACATAAGGGGAGGGGAAGTCTTAACTAGGCCACCTGTATGACTGGGTTTCAAATAACTTATGTCAGGCACAAAAATGGATGCCAAGGCAGCAACTATATTAAACAAATTTATGATAAGATATTACAAACGCCAAGTATAGTGTATGTCTTTATCCTTTACAGTTTTCTCATTATGATATCGTTTTCTAATACAAAAATAGTTGAGATAATTATAGATTCACATACAGTTGTAAGAAATGAAAGATTCCATGCACTCTTTACCCAATTATCTCCAATGATGACATCTTGTAATATTATAGTGAAGAAAAATCAGAATACTTATATTAATATAGTCAAGATACAGGAAAGTTCCACCACCACAGGAATCTCTCAGGTTGGCTTTTTATGGCCACCACCAACTCCTACCCCATTACATTCCTGAATTACTACAACCACTAATCTATTTTCCATTTTTATAATTTTGTCACATCAAGAATGTTATTTTAACAACCAGCTGTCATGGGAACCAACAGAGTGGAAACTCACTACACCCTCCAAAAGAGGGCATTAATCTATTTATGAGTTTAAAAGCTTCCTAGAAGAAACCTTCAGGCCCAGATAGCTTCACTGGTAAATTATAACATTATTTATAAGGTGATTTTTGCCATATAAGGTAATATTCATAGTTCTTGGGATTAGAAAGTCGATATATTTTTGAGGCGGGGGGTATTTGTTAGCTTATCAAACTAGGTGACAGATAAGATGACAATTTAAAGTAGTTTGGTAGAGGTAGATGTCATGTTAAGAAGAGGAATATTCAGGATGCATTTTCTAAAAAGGTTGGTAGGGCTTGTTGACAGGTTGATTGGGGGATGTGAGAGAAAGGTGAGAGCAAGGATGACACCATATCTCGTCTTAGTATCTATCATGGCAGAGTTGCAATTAATGAGACAAGTAAAACCGAAGGACAAAGTATTTTGGAGAGAGAGAGTTATTTTGTTTTGAGACATGTAAAATTTACAGATTTATATTAGATATTTAAATACAGATAATGTGTAGGCCATTGAATTTTTAAGCCCAAATTTTAAAATGTTTGTGGGTTGGAAAAAAAATTAAAAACTTGAGAATGACTAACATACACATGGCATCTAAAACCATGAGTCTGGATGAGATCACCTATGGTATGAGCACAGATAGAGATCCATAAAATTCATCATAGATTGCCATAAAAGAAACAAACACCATGTTTTGTAATACTCCAACATTTTTAGAGTATTTGAGATCAAAAGGCACAAGCAAAAGAAAGCAACACTTTGCAGGATGTGAGATAGGAAAACAGCTAGGATAGTGTGATATCCTAGAAGGCAAGTGAAAAACTATTTCAGGCTGGAGGGGTTGAGGTGAGGTAAGATTAGGAGAATGAGTTCATAGTTAAATTTGGCAACACAGAGATCATATAAACCTTGATAAGTGTTGCTTTGATACAGTGTTAAGAAATAGCCTGACTGAACTGGCTCAAGAAAAAAAAAGTGGAGGTTTGGAATCGGAGTACTCAACTCTTCAGGTGTCATCAATTTTTAGGAGCTTTAATATAAAGGAGAGACATAAAATTGGGTGATACCTTGTAGGAGATGATGTGAGGATAAGCATTAATTTTTAATACAAGTAAAATTGTATAACTTTATATAAAAATTAGAATAATTTAGAAGACAAAAACATTTATGAAGCTACTGATAAAAAAGGATATCTGGAGTCATCACAGATGGAATCAGTGGACAATTATATACAGACCTAAAGAAAAGGGTAACAGGAATTCATCCACTGTAACAGGAGGGAAGGCAGACCATATGGTGGCAAGTAGTCGTCTGTTTCATTGAGATTGTGGAAGCTTTTGGAGGTTCTCATTTGATTGCCTGTAGCCTGTATTTTTCTCAATGAATTAGTACTCTAGGTCATTAGTCAAAATTGAGAATGTAGGAGATTTTGGAGGTATGAGGAAGGAGTTAGGTGGATGAAACTGTCAAGAGTGAGAGGGCTCAGGAAATGTAGTATGATTGCAAGAATTCCTTAGGGAACAATTTGTATTTAGTGGTCATGGATTTAATGTGATCCCTTTCAGCACATTTGTATATTTTTATTCAGCTACATTTATCTGAACAGAGACAGGCATAAATGAGGTCGCCATTCACAATTACAAGTATTAGATAAGGTAGGGGAAAGGGATACTGAGGAAGCAAGGAAGATGAGACTATATGCAACAGATTTATTGTACCTATGGACCATGAAATTGATTTGGTGAGTTGAAGGCATGAGAAAGGGCAAGTTGTGAGCATGTTCCAGAATTGCAGTACTAGAGGTAATGAACTGGAGAAAGAGGAGGTGGGAGTAAGAGAATGAGACACTTGAAATGGAGATTATGGAGGGATTGAAGTTATTGGGAATGAGAGTACAGAATCTGAACATACGCATGGCTAAGTTGGGTAAAGAGCAGGTAATTGAGGGAAAGTACAAGAGTTATAGAAGAGATCAACTATGTGGATATTGACGTCAACAAGGATTTTAAGAAATATAGTGTTGGAGCTAGAGACATTTTCTTTGATGGCTGAAAAATCAAAACTAGAGATTTTTAGGAGAGAGGGAGAATGGTCTAGAAGCAGAAACGTAGAAGAAGGAGGACAGCTTCCCTACCTCCACGCCCAGGATTGTGAGTGTGTGGGAAAAAGCCACAACTTAGAAAGGCTGTAGGGAAAGAAGTATCTTCTCAGGGAAGAGTCAGGTTCCAAGAAAGTATAGAGAAAGTTCAGATAAGTTGATGTAGAGAATAGAGGGTATTTTTCTGATGATAGAATATGAGTTTGAATTAATGGTATGGTAAAGTTTTAGGATTAGGAAAGGAGTGAGAATTATGGTAAAAAAAAAGGTAGATGTATACTGTACTTTGGGATAGATATGAATGCAAAGATGAAGGATGACCCAAAAGAACTAGTATTCACATGGTGACAGATATAAAGAGAGATAAATGTATAATAAGATGCTTCCACATGGAAGAAAGATAGATAGTGGTAGGAAAATCTCACACCCCCAACTACCTTTTGGAGATGCGACATTGGAGATGGGACAGAATTGATAGCTTTGAAAATAAACATTACATATAAAGATTGCTGATGGCCTGAAAATAATCCACTAATTATTCAACACACTCTAATTACCTAAACCTATGTATATACTTTGCTGCATATGGGCTTGGCATTCCCAAAATTTAGCCCTCACTAATAACACACTAATGTGATATGTGGAGAGTTTGCTAATGTACCCAGGAATTGAGTACTCGGTTGCAAAATAATTGTATCATCATTTGCCATTTTACCCCTACTAGCTTTCTTTCTGATAGAAGTTGTGACAAATATCACAGCACCATTTATATGCAATAATAAAATGAACAATAGTCAATGATGGCTTCTTCCTCTCCTTGATAGAGGCAGGGATTCCAGTATATGCCCAGTGCTTCAGAAAGGATACCCATTATAGCTACCAGAAGTCAGGAAGAATAACAGTGACAAAAAGTAATGTGTGGTTGTGCCCAGTTAGAATAGGAAAATTCTAAAATGAATGTTTTCATAGAATGCATTCATCATTTTCCTTTTTTGAGATAACTGAAAAAACATAAATCTAATCCTTTCTGTAAGAATTAATTTTGACTTGCCCACAAAGCTGATGACAGTAGAGAGTTTCATTTGTGTACTTATTTCCTACTCATGGAGACGTGACAACTTATATCCATTTAATATTACATTTAGACTTAAATATACATAGGAATGTCAGCTAAAAGAAAAAAAAAGATAATTTTAGTTCAGTTGTAATTAAATTTTTGACATATCAGATAGGGCTCCAACTACATTTGATGGATTGATTTTCATTTTAAATTCTTCTTATCCAATATATTTTGTTATTTCCAGAAATTTTACTTTAAATTAAATAAAGGTTGGAAGTAATCAAATATTTTAATTAACCTTACTGGTTGAATATAATATCTACATGGAATTGGAATTTGATATATTTTTCCAATCAAAAGTAAATATAATGAGCAACTTAATATTTGTTTATCATAAAACAGAACTTCTCATATTTAAAGTGTACCAGATAGCCCCTAATGCATGGCTTAGAACATATTTTAGCTTATAAGAGTCTGAGAATTAAAACAAAAATGCTAAGCCTACAAAATCACATTACAAGGAGGTTTTAAACAACATGTTGATATGACCCAATTTATTTTTTGTTACAGAATATTACTCCGGGTTCTGTTTGAATAGACTGCTTGGTGCAAGACTGAAATAAAGGAAGCTGTTGCAGCAGCTTAGGTTGGCGTAGATGAGGGTGTAAGTGGTGGAGGTAGTAAGAAGTGGTCAGAAATGTGATACATCTTGATGGCTTTACTATCAGTATTTACTAATGTGTTGGAAATTTGCAGTGAGACAAAAATAAATTAAGTATGACTCCTAAGTTTTTGGCAAGATAAAACTAGATAAATAATGGTGCCATTAACTGATATGGAGAAATCTTTGGGGAGTAAATTAGGAAGAGAATGAGGGGGCAAATATATCAAGAATAATATTTAGTTTGAGAAGTGTACTGGATATCCATGTGAAGAAGAAAATGTGCTATTATAACTCAGGAGAGAATTTATAGTTGGAAATATAAATTAGGAAGTCACAATGTATAGATGGTATCCACCAGCCTGCAATAAATGACCAGGAAGATAATATAACTAAAGAAGAGGCAGGAGTGAGTCCACAATCAAGCCAAAATTTAGAGTTATGATGGCATATAAGAGCAGAAAAGAAGACTTAGGAAGAGTGAACAATGACAGATTAGAAAAAAAATAGTCAAGTGAATATAACATTTCAAGAAGGAGAGAAAAATCAATTATATTAAATGCTATTGAGAGAGAACGTAAGATAAAGAGATTAACCTTTAAATTTTGCAGCACGGAAGCCCTGATTTTTTTAACAAAAGCAATTTCAGTAAAGTTGACAGGATTAAGTCTTCAATGAAGTAAGTTAGAAAATTGGTGGTAAAGAAGTACAGACAGTTAATACAGACAACTCTTTCTAGGAATTTTGATTCGTAAGAGAAGTAACTGGACGATGGGATCAAAGTGTTTATTTATATATATTGATATTGTAACTTGCTGGTATATACTGTAGGAATAATCTAAAAGAGGGAAACATTGATATAGGTAGATATAGGTGACATGAGGGATAATTGACGGGTATGATCATTGAAAAATTAGAAAAGGCAGAATCTAGGGTTCGAGTAGAGGGGCTGGCTTTAGATGGTGGCACAGACAATTTAGTCTTAGTAACGGAAGTAAAGTCAGAGCTTTCTTTTTTGCTTTCTTTGTCCTCCAGCCACGTTCAGCTATTTGCGTGCAAGTGTAGAAAGAGCAGAGAGCTGGCTTGTGCCTTATGTAGTAGACTGGGTTACTGTTCCAGATATTTCACTCCTCTTTATTATTATGTAATCATGGCCCTTGCTTTGATTTTGATTTGACATTGATGCATCCCATGTTAAGGTAGGCAGAGTATATTTCCCATCTTCATTGATAATGAGTATAACCATGTGACTTAATTTGGCCAATGGAATGTGGATTTAGGTGATAATATACAAGTTGAGAACTTAAGAGGTATATCGGATTTCCACTTGCCCTCTTGTGCATCTTCTAACTACAATGAGAAAAACATGTTCTAGCTATGTCTCAGAATGTGTAAATATATAGAGCAGTCCTTAATCTGATGCAAAAATCTAAAATGCCCAGCTGATAAGCAGATCCATGAGCAAAAATATAAATAAATGTTTCTGGTTGTAAGACACAGATTATAGGGTTGTTTGCTACTCAGTATTAATGCAGCAATCACTGACTAATTTATCATGGTTCTAGTTTTGCCTAGTGAATATTAATAGAAGCTGGAAGATAGATAATAAAATTGAAAGCATAAGGAAGCGAGTGACTATAATTATTGAAAATCTGTAAAGATCATTTAACAGAAGTTTGGGATATAAGTGTTCAATGTACTAAAATACACATACTTGTACAAAAAGATATTATGATAGATTTATCCAATGCTTTGTTGAAAATAAAGAATATAATTATTACACATTTTCAAAAATATAAGAATTTAGCAAAATAAAATTAGATTATCATGCCAGAACTTGCTCTTAATTTATCTGTGCTATTGCTACTTGTCATGTTTGCTTTTATTTTAAGCATTTTACATTATTCTAATGGTATATCAAGGATTTTTCCAGGAATGAACATAAGCTGTCTAGTTTTGATATCCTCCTTGTTCTGCTTTTTGTAAAGTAGCAACCAAAACTCATCAAATTACTTACCCAAATTTACCTTAAATTAAAAATAAAACCCTTGATCTTATAGAAATTATATACTATGCAATAGATTTTTAATAACAAAACAAAACAAAAATGATGTCTGAAATAATGCCAGAAATGATATTTTTCAACTGACTTATTTTTTATAACTTATTATTGAAAATGTACACTTATCAGAATGAAGAAATAAACATTGGAACAAGATAATTAAATTATATATTGTATTCAAATTTGTTAATTATTCCACTGCTGTTCTTTCATTTCACAGAATACAATCCAAGATTTCACATTGCATTTAGATGCTGCCATTATCTCTTACTCTCCTTCAATCTGTGACAAGTCCTTACCTTTCTTTGTCTTTTCATGACTTTGTCACCTTTGAAGAGTGCAAGTCAATTATTTTATAGAATATCCCTCAATTTGAGTTTGCCTGATTATTTTATGATAAGATTGAGAATATATATTTTGGAGAATATTATCAGAGAGACTATTTTCCCTTTTCAGTGCCTCTTTATCATGGGATATATGATGTTGATATATTTTATTACCAGTGATGATAATCTTTATCATAGGATCGAGGTGGTATCCTCCAGGTTTCATCACTGTAATATTAGTATTTTCTGTTTGTATTTAATAAACATTTCACAGAAATACACTGAGCCGATGCAAATATTCTCTTTGTCTTTGAGCTTTCACCATCTAATTTGATCATCCATAAGTGGATCTTGCTTGTATGAATTATATATTTTGTATTTCTTGAGAACACAAAACCTCAGTTGATTATAGTTGTGTGTCTAAAACTGGGCTTTCCCTTGTGCTCATTTGATTCATATGTCTATCTTTAGCCAATACAAATTTAGGTAGGTTTTAAGTTTATCCTTAACTCTGTTAGTGTACATCTTCCAATTTTGCTTTTCTTTTTTTTTTTTTTTTTTTGAGACAGAGTCTCGCTCTGTCACCCAGGCCGGACTGCGGACTGCAGTGGCGCAATCTCTGCTCACTGCAAGCTCCGCTTCCCGGGTTCACGCCATTCTCCTGCCTCAGCCTCCCCAGTAGCTGGGACTACAGGCGCCCGCCACCGCGCCCGGCTAATTTTTTGTATTTTTAGTAGAGACGGGGTTTCACCTTGTTAGCCAGGATGGTCTCGATCTCCTGACCTCATGATCCACCCGCCTCGGCCTCCCAAAGTGCTGGGATTACAGGCGTGAGCCACCGCGCCCGGCCCCAATTTGCTTTTCTTTTACAAAATTTTTTGGACATTACTGCTCTTTTGTCTTTTCATATATATTTTATAACAAGCTTTTCAATATCTACAAAAAAGCATATTGGGACATAGATTGGAAATTCATTTGATCTATATATCAAGTTAGAGAACATTGCCATTTTAACAATATTAGGTGTTCCAATCAATAAACATAATACGCTTCCTATTTATTTGGGCTTACTGGATTTTGTTCATCAGATTTTTTAGTATTTAGTATAAAGATCTTGCATGTGTTTTGTTAAATTTTTATTTAACAATTTCAGGGTTTTTGTTGTATTTTAAATGACATTTTTAATGTCAAATTCCAATTATCTATTACTACTATATTCAAATTGAATTGATTTTTGTATATTCAACATAAGGAGTCTTTTAAAAAATAATTTCACCTTTTATATTCTCTACAGAGGGAACATGTGTGGGTTTGTTACATGGGTATATTGCATGATGCTGAGGTGTGGGGTATGAATCCCATCATGCACGTAGTGAGCATAGTACTCAATGAGTCGTTTTTCAACTCAATCCCCCTTCCCTCCCACCCTCACAGTGTTTATTGTTTCCCATAATTATGTCCATGTGTACTCAATGTTTCTCTCCCACTTATAAGTGAGAGCATATGGTATTTCATTTTCTGTTCCTGCATTAACTTACTTAGGATTATTGCCTTCAGCTGCATTCACGTTGCTGCAGAGGACAGGATGTCATTGTTTTTTATTGCTGCATGATATATATGTACCACATTTTCTTTTTTCAGTCCACGGTTGATGGGCACCTAGATTGATTGCATATCTTTGCTATTGTGAATAATGTTATGATGAACATATGCATGCTTGAGTCTTTTTTGGTAGAATGATTTATTTTCTTTTGAGTATATACCCAGTAATGGAATTGCTGGGTCAAATGGACGCTCTGTTTTAACTTCTTTGAGAAATCTCCAAATAGCTTTCCACAGAAGTTGAACTAATTTACATTCACACCAACAGCGTAGAAGAGTTTGGTTTTCTCCACAACCATGCCAGCATCAGATATTATTTGATTTTTTAATAATAGCCATTCTGACTAGCGTGAGATGGTACGGCCTTGTGGTTTTGATTTGCATTTCTCTAATGATTAGTGATGTTTAGCATTTTTTCATACGTTTGTTGGCTACTTTTACATCTTCTTTTGAAAAGTGTTTTTTCGTGTCCTTTGTCCATTTTTAATGAGATTATTTGTTTTTGGCTTGTTGATTTGTTGAAGTTCCTTATAGATTCTGGATACTAGACCTTTGTCAGATGTAAAGTTTGTGACTATTTTCTCCCAATGTGTTTACTGTGTCTACAGGTTTTTGTATGTTTGTTGGTCTGTTTGTTTCTGTGCAGAAAACTTTAGTTTAATTAGGTCCCACTTGTCAATTTTTTGTTTTTTTTGCAATGGATTCTGGTGATTTAGCTGAAAATTCTTCACCAAGGCCAATGTAGAGAAAGATATTCTCTAGATTTTCTTGTAGGATTTTTACAGTTTGAGGTCTTACATATACATCTCTAATATACCCTGCGTTAATTTTTGTATATGGTGAAAGGAAGGGTCCAGTTTCATACTTTTGTATATGGCTAGCCAGTTATCCCCACACCATTTATAGAAGAGAGTGTCCTTCCCCCAGTTGCATTGTCAGGCTGAAAATTTTCCCAAGTTTTATGCTATGCTTCCCTTTTAAATATAAGTTCCAATTCCAAACCATCTCTTTGTGAATTCCTAAAACTGAACACTCTTAAGAGCTCCCAGGTCACATCTTGAACACTTTGCTGCTTAGAAATTTCTTCTGCAGGTACGCTAAATCATCTCTCTCAAGTTCAAAGTTCCGCAAATCTCTAGGGCAGGGGCAAAATGCCGCCAGTCTCTTTGCTAAAGCATAGCAAGAATCACCTTTATTCCAGTTCCTAATAAGTTCCTCATCTCCATCTGAGACCACCTCAGCCTGGACTGCATTGTCCATATCACTATGAGCATTTTGATCAAAGCCATTCAACAAGTTTCTAGGAAGTTCCAAACTTTCCCACATCTTCTTGTCTTCTAAGCCCTCCAAACTGTTCAACTCTCTACCTATTACCCAGTTTCAAAGTCGCTTCTAAATTTTTGGGTATCTTTATAGCACAATTCAAATCAAAATCCTAGCACGTTTGTGTGTGTGTGTGTGTGTGTGTGTGTTTGGAAATTGGCTAGCTGATTCCAAAATTCTTCTGTAAGTGCAAAGGATCTAGAATAACTATAAAAATCCTGAACAAGAGAAAAAGTTTGAAGTATTGATGTTACCAAATATCAAGACTTACTATAAGCTGTAGTAGTGGACAGTATGGTATTACTGCAAGGATAGATGAATAGAATATTTGAACTAAATAAAGTCTAGAAACAGGCTCATACATATACTGTTACCTGACTTGGGAGAAAAATAGCACAAAAAATCAATGAAAAAATGTATGGCTTTAACCATAAATGCTGCTAGGAAAATTTGGTATACATAATGACTAAATGGAACTTTGAGTCCTATATCTTACCATACTTGAAATTATGGAGAGTAACGAAATTATGAAAAGTAAACAACAAAGCTTCTAGGTAAAAGAGAACTATATCTTCATGACTTTTTTATGCCCCAGATTATTGAGATTATTGCCAGTATATAGTACCTAAATTTCAGCTGAAGAGAGTCACCTGACCAAGGTAAAACTCCTTTCCTGAGGGCAGAGTGCATTCAATGATGAATTGATGTGGAAGGTGAGGGAGGGATGTGTAAAATCCTGGCATCTTCATCCCAAATTGGGGCAACTCTGAGGAGCTATCCTAGCTTCAGTGCTAGCCATTGTGTGAGCTGACACCTTTGTCCCCACCTTCTCCCCCTACTCAATCCTGCTTCATCCTCTTCCCTCAGTTGTGTTGATCCTCAGAGCACTCCCTAATACACTTCCTACCCACTACCCTCCTTTCAGAGTCTTCTTCCCAGGAAAACTATTCCGTAACAGTGATGTTTAAGATACTTTCGAGTGATACTGGGATCTATATGTTTACATTTTTTAAGTTATTTATTGGTGTTTTATAGAAGTACTGTGTAGAGGGTAAGAGTCTAAGCCCCAAATTCAAACCTAAGTTCCAGCACGTACTGTCTGTGAGTTCTTGGGCACAACTCCTATATATCTCAGCATACTCATCTCTAACATAGGAATATTAATGGAATTTATCTTATAGTGTTGTAAGGACTAAATCAATTAATATTTGTAAAGTGATTAAAATAGCTCCTGGCACATTGTATATTGCTATTGTTCATGGTAAATGACACCGTTTTCCATTAGAATGCCTTTAAATTATTATATAGGTGATACAAAGGTATGCCAAAAATTGTGAAGGTAACATACGAATAACTGAAATATGGAGAGTCTTTTCTAACAGAAATGTTGAGGAAGAGTAAAATATATGAAGGATTAGGAATGTCAAAAGGAATAAGGCTGGATAATTTTTTATATCTATTTAAATCTAGATATAGATGTAACTGTAGATATAGATATCAACAGTCCCATAAAAAGTTATTTTCTAGAAAACTGGTATTCACCAAGATACCAAAATTATTTAATCAATTAGTAATTTTAGTTTATAAAATTAAAACCATTTGTTTAGGAATTATTTCATCTAGAAAAAAAATGGATTTCATAAGAAAAATAACTATTTCTTTCTTTTCCAGTAATGTATTTCCTGGCATGTAACAGCAGGTGAAAGATCTTGTTTCCTATAAAATTGAGGAAAAGTAGAAGTCCATTTTGAAGTTAACCTATTTTCATCTATAATAATCCCAATAACATATATTTGTACATAGTTTTAGTGTTTAGAAATGTCTTCACATACACAATTGTGTATGTTTATCAAAAAGTCTTACTAGGTAAAACTGATTTTTTAATAATGTCCAAAATAGGGTTCTTACAGGATAGAAACTAGCCCAAGCTAATACAGCTTATCCATGTTACAGTCAAAAGAAGAACACAGATTATTTGACCATAATGCTCAGTCCCCATACCTTGGCTGCCTTCCTAACATTCTAGGTCTAATTTTACATCTATGTGTAGATTTGTAAAGTAGTACTTTATTCTCTAGTGCTACAGTATGTAACACTAGAGATGTAATAATGCTAAACCTCCAACTTTTTTTAAATGTTAGTCAGATGACCCAGTACGATGTTACAGCTAATGTATTTCCACAAGTTTAATCTTGTTTCAGTAACATTTGATTATTTCCTATTAAAAGAGAAAAAAGAATACTGCAAGTCCTATAACTTTATTAGCTTTGTAGAAGGATGTCCTTTGAAATCACAATTCACCTACACTCTTGTGTCGTTCTTGGTTATTTGACCTAATTAAATCTGTAGACAAGATAACATTTCAAAGTGAAAACCTGGCAGGTTAAGATTCTTCACTGACAGAAAGACCCTTTTCTTCTTCCTGTCTAGTCCTTGTCACCAGTTTTGAATGATAACGAAAGGAACAGTGAACTTTCTAAAAACAAAATGAAGTACTTCACTATCTATAGTATAGTATGAAGCTCATTCCAAGGAAATAATTTCTAGAAATATATATTTGCTTAAAGGAATAAAAGGGCTGTGAACCCTTTTTCCAATGGGAAAAATATAGTTTCAGTGGCTAGAGCTCCAATCTAGGTCAACATATAACTACATCTAGATCTAATTTTACTAAACAACTTTATAAGCACAAGGAATTATAAAATTTCTGAAAGAAAGTAATATGAGAAATAATTACAGAAATTATTTTTATCCATGTCCTTTTGTAATACAGAGACTAAAATTTTTGTAAAGTCAGATTGACTGGGATGATGAATAGAATGGCTGCTATTATGAAATGAAGCAGTAGCATTCATACTTGAGGAACATATGTTAGTCGTAACAGTTGTCACTCAGTCTCCCTTACTGCCTAATATTGAATAAAATTGAATAGAATGCATTGTCACATCATATGGCAAATTAGAAGGTGCAAGTTTAGAACTTCCCTGCTGAATCAGTTTATGAGAAAATAACATTTACAAAAGTATATTTCTTGGCCAAATACATTTTGAAATACATATCACTTCCTCTACCTAAAAATACACATAGCATTAGAGAGAGAGAGAAAAAAAAAAAGGCCTAGGAAACCCTGCCATAAATAAACTTTGTTTAGCCAAGTATTTCTCAAATTCATTTAAGCATAGAACTTAAGGTTTTTATTTGTTTTTAATTCTATTTTTGTAGCTACATAGTAGGTGTATATAACTTAGTTGTTTCTGTTTCTTTGTGTTCTTGTTTTTACAAAATACTTAGGTAAACACTGGTCAAGGATAAGGTAATCTTTTCAGTTCTCAAATATTCACCAAGAAAATGTTCTATGTTAATGTAGGAACACTTAGTTTTAAGGGTATAAATGCTTTTTCTGTTACATGATAGTGTCCCTAGAGGTAATTTTTATAGTACCAATAGTGCCCCAATGTCTTATGCCAATAGTGACATAAGAAGCCAAACTCCCATTTCTGTTGTACTCTTAATGTTTTATGTTCCTCAAATAAGCAGAAAAACTCCTACAACTAGTATTATAGCATGTAAAATATCAGAGCAAACAAAAAGTTTCTATAAAATAAACAAGCCCCTTTGGAGATCTTATTATATAGAGCAGCAGGGAGCACATCATGAACTGTCAAAAACACTACATAGGCCAGTGTGCATTGTTTATCTTAGAAAGCAAGTCATGGCAGAAACTAGAGAAGACAATAAGAAATTCACCAAGAAACTGGTTTAAATTTGAAAAAATATTTTATGACAATAAGAAAAATAGAAATTATAATTAATAAACTACATTTAATTTCTATTTTTCAAGCTAAAATTCTTAAAATGGAACACAAATGTTGGTCTCTTTGTTGCATAAAAATTGCATTATATATAACTACTAATTGTAGTATTTAAAATAAAAGTAGTTATTAGAAGGTTTATATTTTTGTTTTGTAAATATAGATTTTATCGGCAGTCATAAATACTGTGTTTCAAAATAGTGAGGAAATGAATGGCCCTGAAAAAGAAGTTTAAATACTATAAAGATGTAGTTGTCCCCAAATGTAATTGCCATTAAATAATAATTGGGATTTGGGCGGGACTTGATAAAAATTTATTATAATTTTTACTAGAAGAATAAGTAGGTAAGAGAAAATAAATCATTTAAAGACACCAGAGAGAAAGAAATAAAATAAGAAAACAAAACCATGGGGTTTAAACTGTATGGCACTGGCATTAGATCTGAAATACAGATGCAGGGAAAAGTATATATATGATCTGAATATCAGATAAGTCACATTGCAAACATAAATAGCAACAAAATAATAATTATTATTCAAGAAAAAATGGAAAAGTGGCTAATTAAGTGAGGGGCAATCAAATTAGGTTTTCATTACACAGCAAAAAAGCACAATATAGATAAATTGAAGGAGTAAAAGTTGCCTACCTACCTGTAACCATTTCCTCATTAAAAACAAAGGAGAAGAAAAAGAAAATGTAGGTGAATTTTCAATTGATTTCAAAATGTGGAATGACATTGATAGTGTAGAATCAATGGAAGAAATGTTAAAAACAGAAAATGGCTCACGTATTTAATGAATCAGTGAAATTAAGTATAAGCAGACGTATAAATAGTTGCCACAAATATAACAATATTATTTGACATGAAGGCAGTTTTCAATTTTTTGCTATTATAAAAAATGCAACATCAAGTATATTTATTCATACATTAACCATACTTTGAATATATCTTTGTTTCAATTTTTAATTTTTGTGGGTATCTGGTAGGTATATATATTCATGGGGTATATGGGATATTTTGATACAGGCATAGAATGTGTGATAATCACATCAGGGTAAATGAGATATCCATCACCTCAAGCATTTACTCTTTGTGTTACAAATAGTCCAATTATACCCTTTCAGTTATTTTTAAATGTACAATTAAATTATTTTTTACTATAGTCACTTTGTTGTGTTATGAAATACCAGAACTTATTCATTCTTTCTATTTTTTGGTACCCATCAACCTGCCCTCTTCCCCTCATGGCCCCACCGCCACCCATTACTCTTCCCAATCTCTGGTAACCATCATTCTACTCTCCATCTCCATGAGTTCAATTGTTTTATTTTTAGATCCCACAAATAAGTGAGAACATGAGAAGCCTGTCTTTCACTTAACATAATGACCTACAGTTCTATCCACGTTGTTGCAAATGGCAGTATCTCTCTCTCTCTCTTTTATGGCTGAATACTACTACACTGTATATATGTACCATATTTACTTCATACATTCATCTGTTGATGGACACTTAGGTTACTTCCAAATCTGGGCTATTGTGAATAGTGCTGCAATAAACATGGAGGTACAGATATCTCTTCAATGTACTGATTTCCTTTCTTAAGGTTATATACCTAGCAGTGGGATTGCTGGATCATATGGTAGGTGTAGTTTTAGTTTTCTGAGGAACCTCCAAACTGATCTCCATAGCAGTTGTACTACTTTACATTGCAACCAACAGAATTGGCATTACTAGGTCAAAAGAATGACAGTTACAAAGTTTCTTTTTATACATTACAAAGAGTGCTTTCCAAAAACTATGTAGTAATTTGTATTTCCATCAGTATTGTTTGATTATTCCAGTTTCACTATAGAAACATTAGCATTTGTAGTTCCATTAAAAGACAAAAACAAACTTAAAAAAAGGGAAAAAATCTAGATGGTCATTTTTAAAAATCAGTATCTGATTATTAGTGACATTGAACATATTTTAAACCATTTTTTGCCCATTTGTACTTTATCTTTTGTGAACTGTTGTTCATACTCTTTTTAATGCATTGCAAAGAAATAGAAAGAAAAATTTTGAAACACAAAAAGATTCAAGTATGCCATTAAGCAATTATTTTGATTCTGTGTAAGTTAATTTTTCTGAATTGCACTCTCCATAATTCAGTGAGAATAATAATAACATCCACCTGTCCCTTGAAGTTGTAGCAAATGAATTCAATTAATGACATTTAGGATGTTTTTATAAATGGCTATGGCTACAGAAAATTTAAGAGAACTTAATTAACCCATTCTTACTGAAATGTTAGTAGTGGTTATTTATTTCAGTCAGTATTTTTGTATTAATTATGTTAAGATAATTCATATTTACCAAAACAATTATGTTTTATATTTTTAAAACATTGTTATTGTTAAGCAAATTCATAATTTTTTAGCGTTAGATTTTTAAGAAACTTCATTAGTTCTTAGAATTTTTCCTATTCATCAATACACAGGTGGGGTGGTTAATATATAGAAGAAATAGATATTGGCTGGGCGTGGTGGCTCACCCCTGTAAGCCCAGCACTTTGGGAGGCCAAGGCAGGTGGATCACCTGAGGTCAGGAGTTCGAGACTAGCCTGACCAATATGGTGAAACCCAATCTCTACTAAAAATACAAAAATTAGCCATGCGGGATGGTGTGCGCCTGTAGTCCCAGCTACTTGGGAGGCTGAGACAGGAGAATTGCTCGAACCTGGGAGGCAGAGGTTGCAGTGAGCCGAGATTGTGCCACTGCACTCCAGCCTGGGTGACAAGAGTGAGACTCTGTCTCAAAACAAAACTAAACAACAACAACAACAAAAATAGTCTCAAAAACAAAACAAAACCAAACAACAACAAAAATTTATACCCTGTAATAAATTCGCAGTAAAACAGTAGTTGAAACTACTGATACTTTTTATTAGTATTAAAACTACTGATACTACTTTTTATTACTATCAATATACTACTTTTTATTAGTACCAGTAGTTTTAACACACTATTTATAATTTTCTGAAATCTTTCTTGACTCATATAACCATGTGTTAAGTGGTATGCTATTCAACCATGGAAAATTTCAAAGTTAAAATACTTGGCAAATCTTACTTATGTCCTGAGGAATTAAAAATAATACAAATGTAATATATATATATATATATGTTTTACCATCCATGTTTTTCTATCAACTTACTAAAATTTGTTCCAAAATTTTAAAATTATATTTTTAATTTGTGTTAAATATTTACTAAGGCAACAGACATATATTTCATTATCTCTGAAATGCAACAACAAACAGAATGATAGAATGTAAGGTAGAAATCCTGTACCTTGTATTTCACTCGGAGAACTAAATCTGAAGGCAGAACTCTCATAGATGAAGCTATCCCAGCAATGATCCATGACAAGATTCCTGGGATGTTCCACACCTAATTAAAAAATAAAGAGATATTACACTTCAATGTCACATTCAAGAAGAAAAACAGCGGTGGAGATGGAAATAGAATAAAAATTATCCTCTAATAGGAAACTTATAAGATGAATATCTTTCAAAGTATATTTTAAAATGAGATTTAAATGGCATTTTTGAAGAACATATTTAATAATATAAATGGTTTTATCTATGATGTTTAAAAAATAAACTCATAAATTCTTGGAACTTTCAGGTGGACACAGTGGCATGTGCCTAAAATTCCAGCTACTGGGGAGTCTGAGGCAGGAAGATTGCTTGAGGCCAAGAGTTCAAGGCCAGTCTGGGCAACATAGCAAGACCACATCTCTATATTTTAAAAATCTTGGAATTTTAATTTGAACTACTCAACAAGCAGATATTAAGAGTGAAATACTCAACAAGTAGATATTAAGAGTCTATTTGAGCCTGCTGTTTAAAAATAGATTGTATTGATGAATACAGTTGGCCTTCTGTATCCATGGGTTCCATATCCATGGATTCAACCAAAGGCAGATTGAAAATCTTCAAAAAGATAATGGATGGTTTCATCTACATTGAATATGTACAGACTCTTTTCCTGGTCTTTATTCCCTACATCATACACTATGACAACTATTTACATAGCATTTACATTGTATTAGGTGTTCTAAGTAATCTAGAGATGATTAAAATATATGAAAGTATATGTGTAGGTTACATGCACACACTGTGCCATTTTGTATCAGGGACATGGGGATTTGTGGATTGTGATATCCTTGGGGGTTCTGAAATCTATCCCCTATGGATACAGAAGGATGGCCTGTATATAAATATGCACAAATAAACAACATTTATCCAATGTTAACAATGTTAACAAGTTCAAACCAATAGATACAAAATGTTTATTAATTCTCTATTAAAAAGATAAGCTCTACTTACATTAAAAATATGAGTTGATAGTGCTAACTGGTTATTTTTCAAATGTAAATATATATACATTGAAGGAAATGCCAAAAGATATTTACTAACAGTGGTATACGATAAAAGGGAAACATGTTTTGAGATCATTGTGTATAGATTAGTGTTTCTAAACGTGTAGTCTTCTGAAAACCTGCATTGGAATAGCTTGTGATGGCAGGGCCTCACCCTAGCCCCTATGAATCAGAATAAATGAATGTGGACCTGGGAATATGAATTTTTATAAGCTCTCAAATATTGTTTACTGAATTTGGAGTGTTGTTAATCAAGAATCAGATAAAACAAGTTCCAAATGTTAAGATATCTTATCAGCATCTAAAAATAAAATAATTGTAAGCAAGTAGAGTCTCAGATTACTCACTTCAAAAATGGTTATAATTATTCTACATTTACTTTTTATTTGTACAATAATATATTTTTATTAGTACAATAATATTAACAATATGTTAATATGAGCAAAATAAACTAAGACAAATAACCCAATTAAACTAAGTTATAAAGACTTAATATAGGCCAGGCACGGCGGCTCACGCCTGTAATCCCAGCACTTTGGGAGGCCGAGGTGGGCGGATCATGAGGTCAGGAGATCGAGACCATCCTGGCTAACACGGTGAAACCCCGTCTCTACTAAAAATACAAAAAAAAAAAAAAAATAGCTGGGTGTGGTGGTGGGCGCCTGTAGTCCCAGCTACTCGGGAGGCTGAGGCAGGAGAATGGCATGAACCTAGGAGGCGGAGCTTGCAGTGAGCTGAGATCACACCACTGCACTCCAGTCTGGGCGACAGAGTGAGACTCCGTCTCAAAAAGAAAGAAAAAAAAAACACAAAACTTAATATATTTGATACCCCAACTTCCCTGCCAAAAAGTCTCAAATTTCTCAATACTATTTATTTCTTAATTCAAATATTTTAAAAGTTGCATGTCTGAATTTGGGAGGGATTTTTAGGTTCTGGGAGATTTTCTTACACCAATTTGTCTCTCTTCTTAAGTATAAAACCATGCTTATCCTGATTGGCTATTTGCAATGATTACTACATATATTACATAAATATTTGTTCAACTCTGGATGTACTTTAGATAAGATTCAGAGGACCTCCAGGGATTTTCATAACTAATTCTACCATGTGAATTCCAACATTCACTCTGAGGGCTGGGCGCAGTGGCTCATAAGCCCAGAAATTTGGGAGGCCAAGGAAGGTGGATCACTAGAGGTCAGGAGTTCCAGACCAGCCTAGGCAACATGGCAAAACTTCGTCCCTATAAAAAATACGAAAAATTAGCTGGGCATGCTGGCACATGCCTGTGGTCCCAGCTACTGGGAAGGGTGGAGTGGGAGAATCATCTGAGCCCGGGAGGTGGAGGCTGTAGTAAGCTGAGATCGTGCCACTGCACTCTAGCCTACGGGACCAAGTGAGACCATGTCTCAAAACAAAAAATTACCCTGTTCCTGTTACAGGTTGAATGTCTCCTTGCGTGAAGAGTTCTATTCCTAAGTTGGGTATGTCACAAAAATATAAAACACAAAAAAGATGAATTAGAATAATTTTTTAGAAAGTTGAAACAAGATTAGGGACACCATCTGCAGTCACGGATGAGACACAGTATGGTCATGTCACTTACTTGGAATAAGCCAAAATGTTTTCTTAGAAACTAATATACTGAGGAAAAATGTAGTGACATAATCAGGCTCCACAGTACAAAAACCAGACAATTGCTCAAAAGAGGCAACCATTCTTCCTGATACTAACAGCTGATTCTTAAAAAGATTTCATTTAAAAAAGATTGCAATGTAATAAGAAATCCTTTGATAACATCTCCACCAACATCATGATGACCTCCTTAGAATATTTCTATGCAATCTGGTGTTATGGGTAAATGACATCACAACACAGTGAAATTCACTGAACACAATTCTTAATGTGGTTGGGGGAGGGTGTAGTTGATTTCAAGTACTGGGCTTTTGGCTCCTATTTAATCTGTTAAGTAGATTTCAGACCACTCACAGAAACAGATTGCAAGTCTTTCCTGTAATCCTTTACTATCTCTCCATTTGAGCTTTTCAGTTTTATATATAACTAGGTGAACAGTTAGTGAGAAATTGTTCTGCCTGCTTACTGAGAAGCCATGTGCAAAGGTACACAGAAACCTGGCTTTGCAGAGTTGGGTTTTTAATCTTACTTCCTTCACTTAATAGCTCCATGATCGTGAACAAGTTGTTAAGCCTCTCCATTAATCAATTTTATCCTCCTTAAAACAGATATAACGCCAATTTCAGAGGGTTCCTGTCTTAGTTGGGGTTTCCTCAGAAGCTGTTATTTGGGACGTGACCTCAGGAAATGCCAGTAGGGAAGAGCAAAAGTGAGACAAAGATTAGAAGGACTCCAATGAATGGTGTATTATAAAGGAAGTTACTACTGTGGATACATGAGGCTCAAGGCAGCTAGGGAACTCTGAGAGCCAGTGCAGAACACACATCTCAAAGGTATACTGCTCAGGGGAATGGGAACTGTAATATTTTTCCACCACTTCCTGTCATCCATAGGTTGAGGAAAAATTAACTCACTAGGGCAGCCAGAAGAAATATCCAAGAGTTACAGGTGTTGGTAGCTGGACAATGGCCCAGATAAATACTAGTTGAATATTTGTTGTCCTGAGATAACTTAAAAAATCACACACATGAAGTGCTCAGTATAGTCTTTATAATTGATAACTATTATGTGTCCCCAGATTCAATCACAACTGTGTATCACCTGTTAAATTACAAGGGCACCATATGCCCTAACTGAAAGTTAAGTTAAAGGTCGGGTTCACACCCTCATGTGCAAATTGTGGAGCATAACAAGTATTTATGCTTGAGTGAAGGGCAAGCCACTCCACTAAGTAATTCCCTGTGAATGGTGCCAAAATTCTCCTTAGGAAATAATGGTAAGTTTGTTGTAATGCACAGACCAGTGTGTGCCCAAGGTGCTCAATTTCTTCTCCAAATAGCACAACCACAATAATATTTAGCATCGGACTATTTTAAGATGGATATAACAAAACACTCATCTTGAGTATTAAAAATATCAGGAATACAGGTAAGCCTTTAGAAACATACTTTTAGGCAACATAGTATAGTTGTCTGAAGAAAAAGTAGTCTGGACACATGAAACATTAAATATGTTTGCTAAAGAAACAGATTCTCAGGCTTTAGGGAAAATTCTAGGTATATACTGTGAGCTTTTCTGCTACCTGTGGTCATGGACTTTTCCACTGTTACTGGCTTAAATCTTCTGAGCTTTGCTTCTCAATTCCAGTTTTCCCCCAACCCATCCATATCCGTCATCCACAAATAATTCTACAGTTAGCGTTCAAAATGCGGGTTATAAAGTACAGGTAATCTTTTGAAAACTCTCATTATCTAAAGGATAAAAGTTGGATTCCTTATGATAGTATTTAAGACTTTTTCAATATCCTAGCATATCTCCACTCTCTTTTGCCTCTCTCTCTCTCTCAGATAGGTAGGTAGATAGATGATAGATAGATAAATAGATAGATGATAGATAGATAGGCAGATAGATAGATAGCATTAAAAAGTTTAGCCTAAAACTGCCTCCTTACATATTTTAAGTTCAGCCTAAAGGTTTCTCTGTACATTGAGAACCATAAGCTATATGGAACTGTAAACAGACTGTAAGCCTACTCTTGTGCCAATCATTGAGGTTTGGCCAATCAGAGGTTGCCAAGTGTTCAAACCATGTTCAAATAAGGCAAACTCAGAGCTGTAACCAATCGGCTGTTTTTGCACCTCCCTTCTGTTTTCTGTATGTCACTTTCCTTTTGCTGTCCATAAATCTTACACCACGTGGCTATGCTGGTTTCTGGGCCTACTCTGGCTTTGGAGGCTGCCTGATTCGTGAATCATTATTTGCTCAATTAAACTCTGTTAAACTTAATACAGCTAAAATTTTTCTTCCATCACTACACAGACAGAGTTAGAAATATATAAAATATATAAAGATCTTCAAATTCACTACTTTTTCCAAGAAGGCAGCATTTTTAGAATTTCAAACTCACTATCAAACTTCTGGATTGCCCAATTCTCTGTCTTTTCTCCTGCTAATGTCTTGGCTATTTCTATTTTTATTACTTCTCCCAGAAATAATGTCTTTTGATATTCCAAAGATCTTTGGTACTTAATTTATACCGTATTATCTCTAAGTTTTAGAAATTTGGGTATTTTATTTATGGTCCAGTCATTCAGCAGACAAGCATCAAAAGCCTCTTCTGTCTCATTTGCTCAAGTTACTAATAGATCATGTCTGCAAAGATCTCACAAATATTGTGGGATTAACAAATATTAGCTACAATGAGTGTGACAGATATTTAAATCAAGCTATGCACAAGTTGCCATGCTATCCATAAGGGCAAGAAATCATTCCAGGATTTGCAGCTAATGAGGAGAGAGAGAGAGAGAAAAATGAGGAATGCAGGATGCAGGATCTGAAAAGCTGTGAGATTCCTCACACCAGCAAGGAACCATTTGGTGAGATGAGTCTTGTTATCAACTTGCCTAAGAATTTTTTTTTAATTCTGTAGAATCTGTAAGAAAATTTACATCTTCTTTTAAAAGACAAAATGAGATTGCCTACTCCTATCATGAAATAATCTAAAGACATTTCCAAATATTTAAATGAGAAGGTATTTGATATGGTTTAGCTTTGTGTCCCCACCACCCAAATTTCATCTTAAATTGTAATCCCCAGGTGATAAGGGAGGAATCTTGTGGGAACTGATTGGATTATGGGGCGGTTTATCCTATGCTGTTCTGATGAGAGTGAGTGAATTTTCATGAGATCTGATGGTTTTATAAGTGTTTGATATTTCCTCCTACACACTTGATCTCTCTTCCCTGCCGTCATGTAACACATGCCTGTTTTTTTTCCACCATGATTGTAAGTTTCCTGAGGCCTCCCCAGCCATGAAGAACTGTGAGTCAATTAAACCTCTTTCCTTTATAAATTACCAATTCTCAGGTATTTCTTTATAGCAGTGCAAAAATGAACTAATATAGTATTAATCTCTATTTTTAATGAGTATATTTTGCATATATATTAAATATTTTAATTCTTCTCATCAGTCATGTTTTTCTGTAGACCATGTTTTTCTGTAGATCAAATTGTGAGGCTTAGCCACCAAGGACTATAAGCACAAGTAGATACGTAGATAATGCCTAAAAAAGATACCACAAAAGGGAGAAGGATAAGAATATAACAGAAAGGGAGATGCCATCAGCAACAACGGGGAAAGAAGTTCTTTTTCACATAGGATAGGGAGACAGAGAAAGAGAAACAAGATATTAAAGGTCTGTGAATCTTCCTTTGTCTCATATCTCCTCAGGTTTAAGGAAGAAGGGGGAGAAACAAAGCCTGAACATTTGCCCAAGAGCAAGTGAGTTTACTTAAAAGAGACTGTTTTGAACTGCAAAAGACTGATCAATTTTTAATTGTCAAGCTATGTTTTATTGTTACATAGCAGAAAGAAATGTACAGCAATGTTAGAAAACTAGAAAGTCACACATTATTTTAAAATTTATTTTTAATGTTAAAATCTTAATCCAAATTTGTTTTTATAACATGCTCATAGTTATAAAGTCATTTGGCTGCACCTATCCTGAAAATTTCATTCCCTGGAAAGATCCATTGATACGCCTTGTATGCTGACATTCTAAAAATTCTGTGCCCTACAATTGGTATAAACGTCACAAACACATATTTTTTTTGGTGCATATCTAAATTTATGATTTAAATCCCAGCCAAACACAATAACTTTTATATTTAATTTTGTCAGCTCCATGTTCCTTTTTCTCCAACAGTTATTTCAAACCACCACTCCACTCTTCAAATTCTCTACTATATCTCTCTTCCTCAGCAGATAAAAATGTAAATATATGACTGCTCCTAATTCCAAAGCCCTTCCACTACCTACCAATTTATTGACACCCATATTTGTTTTATTTTACCCCCACCTAAGGAAGAAATCCTCTCCTGTTCAGCTCTTCCTTTACCTCTGTTCTGATCCCAACCCTCCTAGACCCTTAGTCTATCAGTTAAACCTTACCTCGTTTATATCTTTAACTCCTGTTCAACCCTGGCTTCTCCCTTCTGCTTATACATATGCTCAAGTCTTTTCCATCTTAAAATGCTAATTTCCTTGAGCTTGCAATCAACATTTATTAAACACCACATGCCTCTCCTGATCGCAGCCAAAATTCTTATAAGGGAATTTTACATGAGATGACATTACTTTCTTAATATTTAAAATTATTTCATTCCAAGAAGATGAAGAAATGATAGAAAAGCACCAAAGTGCAACAGGTAAATGACATGTTCAGCTTCAACATTATATAAAAAATTTGCAATGATAATACAATATAATGTTCTTTCAATCAGATTGATGGAGACTAAAGACAATGTTATTACTCAGGGCTTACACAGTTCTGGAAAATAGGTAATGTCTATATTATACTTCTAATTGCAGCATGAATTGCAAAAGTATAAACATTCTGGAGAGTAAGTTGGTCATTTATATAAAAAACCATAAAATATATAACTTTAACCCAATAATTGCACTAATAATAGTTTTAGTAGAAGTAGTAATAATAGTTGAAAAGATAAATTGGTACTGCTCAATATTAGATTGAAAATGTGTTTCAAAAAACTCATGCTGAGTTAATTTTTAATTCAGACTCACATTATTTATTTGTTTAATATAAAGTGATCAAACTCTTCAAATAATCTAATTAAAAACATATACCCTCAATATGGCATAAAAAAGGGACAAGGCTGATTGAAGCCACAATTTATTCCAAATATGTTGTCTCTTTATTAAGAAAATGCAAAAAGGAAACAAAATCACCATATCAGAATTTCTATAAAGTTTTGAGGAATAAGCATTGGCATATTTGAATAATATCATAAGAATCTTACAAATCTACTAATTTACATATTTGGGTTTATAGACCAAATTTGGAAGAACTTGATTTGTTATATAGTTATCTAATTCTGATTCTGTACCATTATGAGCTGTGATTTCAGCCAAAATACTGCGTCTCTCAAATCTTGTTTTCTCTTTTATAAGATAATTTTCTTTACAGATTTCTAAAGTATTCATTTGTTCTAAAATGTTTTGATTCTATGATAAAATAAGTCTGATAAATACCTATAAAATAACATGTAAAATATAAGAAAAACAACTTACTTGTCAGTATTATATCAATGAGGACATCTTCCATTGTGGGATTTTTGAAAGGTATAACAATAGTTGACTGAAGACCAATGCGTGTGGTTATTCTTTCCGTGTCTAGAGGCTGGGGAAATAGTCCTACTCCAGATAAGTAGAATTTCCATTCTGTAAACTGTTTGAAGATAAGTATTCGTAACTTATGTGTCCTAACTGCATATATTTTATTTGCAATACTTAATAAGTATAATGCATATAAAAATTTGGACAGATAAGAAAAGTTTTGTTGTTAAAAAGCATTGTTTTATTTTTCCTTTCTTTTCCAAATTCCTTTTAATTTTATGGAAAAATAATTCTATGTATTTTTACTTTGAGGCAGAAGAGGGCAAAAGTGCAATATTCAAATATCAAACATATTTCAATGCACATAAAGTTATTATAGCAACATAAAAGAGAAAGTTTAATGGAAAACCTGGCACTTCTGTTCAAGTTTTTTTTTTTTTAACAAACTTGATACCAAACACTGCATGTAGTTTCCAAACTCTTTGGGTGAATTTCAAATGAAATTCAGATAGCTGCCACATTAAGGCAAAGAAGATGAGGCACAGATTGAAGCTCCAATAAAAGGAAGTATGTACAATTGCATGCCATATTATTTATCTCCATCATCGAGTCCAGTGCATTATCTGTTATCACATGATATGGATAAATGAATCAAAAATTATGTGAAGGAGATTGAATGTGGCTATTATTTTTATCTAAGTTTCATTAGCATGTAAAGCTCTGTTTGAAAATCTCTTTGTATTTTAGGATAAAAGTCCCTTCAGAGTACAGTACACTGTGACTCAGTTCCAGGGTCTCTTAAACTTCTGCAACAAACACTTTGGTAATGTGCAGATGAATAAAGGGATCACAAACAATGTCCTACTTTATAATCTCTCAAACTATATAGACGTTTCCAAGCTTAAATTCTGATAAAAAGAGGGAAACTTGCTTGAAGATTACTTCAAATAAGGAGAAGTAGTGAAAGAAAACTCATAAAAATCCTGCCTCCTTAGTAGAGAGAATTAAAGGCATATTTCATCTGGATATTATCTTCAAATGACTATATTACTATTAGTCACAGATTTGACTAGCATAATACAAATTAACTATATTTTCAATAATAACGTCCTAACTTGATTCACAAAATTGACTGTTTAAAGTCAAGCATCAGAGTTCAATTAAATTAAAAAGTGGTTTAAGTAAATTATTTACTATTTGGATATTTTATAAAAGAAATCTTAAATGGGAGAACTCGTGTTACTTTAAACCATTGTAAATGAGCCAAGTGACAAAAAGAAGGTCATGGTTTCATGTTTTCTCAAGTCGCATAGAGTACTGGAGTTTCTATGTTAAACCACATCCCACGATTATTGAACACTGACATCCAACACTTTTCCTAGCATTGATTACATTATTCACTTGGGTTCAGAATGGCAAATTAAAAAGTAACCCAGCAAACATATGCACTCAACAATTAATATATTCAGCCCACATTTTTCTCAATCTTCTTCTAAAGGAGAGACATTAAAACTTTTAAAGATACAATTTTGATATTTCTGAAAGAGAAAACAAGTGGATATAAAGGATAGCAAATCTAGTTTGCACACTGAGCTCCAGAGAATTAAAACTTGTTAAGAAGAATCAGAACTTTCCATAGGCACAGGCTACAAAGATCACAGACTCACGCTGGATTGTAAAACCACTGATTTTATAACTTCTTCCTTAATTTTTGCTATTCTGACCTTTAGATGAAACAAATCATACAATCAAATAGGAATGAAATAAACAAGGCACCTATCTGAAAATAAAAAGGAAGCATCTGAAAACCAAGAAAGAAAATCTCAGAACATAATCTTCGAAACCAAAGAGAAGTTATAATTTACCACATTTGCTGCTTACTACTGCTCCTCTTATTCTGTTATGTAGTAACATAATTTAATTTAGAGACTCTGGTTGCATAAAATATAAGTTTATGATATTTGCAGTTGTGATGTCCTGACCAAATTAATCACAGGATTCAAAATCTGCACAAACAATTTGAACTTAACCCAAACCCTAATCATAACTGAATGGTTAGATTTTTTACATTGCAGAGTTTTTCACATGAATTGAAACCAGAAACAAATGAAGCAGATAATGAACCATAGCCATTTCCCTCAATCCAGCAAAGAGGTACCATCAGAAATAAAGTTTACCCTATAAGAACAGCCATTAGTTGGCTTTAGATTCATCAGCTAATCAGCTGTGTGTGTCAGTTTAGATAGATTTAATCAGTTAAATCAAGAGAGGGATGGAAATCTATATGGCTATTTCCCTAATGGTAAATGTTATTCCAAACTCAGACTTAGAAAAATAAACTCTAAAGTTTATTTTAAAAAATATTTTCTTTAGATGCCTGTTCATACATAATGCATACCACATTTTCAAAAGTTCATTCAATTAATACTTTATGATGAACTAGTTTTTCTTGCAAAAGATGTCAACTGGATGAATTAAATAAAAGAGGAAGAACTAAATGATTCAATGATAAATATGGCAAGAAAAATCACAAAGGTTACAGCAATATATTGAGAAGGTTGAGGAGGTCTAGACCTGATAGCTGAAAGCATGAATTATTGATTGAAGTCTAATCATGGCTGAATCCTTATAGATTTGCTACAAGTTGGAAGGAGATACTCAGAGTGACTGAAATTAACCATCAGTGTTCAACTGACTCATAGAAGGTTTGAATTGATAATATTTTCTTGTTTGAGCCTTTTTGTGTTTGATAAAGAATTTAACATTCAACTTCTAGGCTAGGAATTTTTAAAGCTATTAAGATACAGAACTGATTATCTCCCTGCTGAGTTCTAAGACTGCCCTTGAATAGATATGCTTTCCACCAGAAATGCAAGCAAAAAAATTGCCCCCAATAATTATGATGAAGGGGTTCTAATCCTGCTATGCAGCAATCGCTTAAAAGAACAGCTTTGTTAAAATTACTTGTCTGAAAGAAAATAATCTCCATTATATATTTCCTTCTGTATGAGAAGGATCACTGTTTGTCTCCTTTAATATTTTTGAAAAAGAAGCATATTTCTATAGCATTTGTCTCAGGTAAAGTGTTAGTTAGTCATTACCATATTTAGACAAGTTAACAGCCTCAAAACAAATTTTCTAAAAATAAATTACAAATTTTTTGGAAATGAAGATACTTCAGCTACCCATAGGCCCTGTACTGACATGGAGACGCCTGTATTATATTTGATTCCACTGCCCCTCAGATGTCAGGGTTTTGTAAGCTCCTTGATGTCTTCTAAGATATAAAGTACATTCCTCCATTTGCATTCCTCCCCATGAACATTTGAAGAAGTAAAAATAATATAAATGGTAAAATTTTACATAAAATTTTAATTGGTAGTAAGAGAGTTAACAATCACTTGGCTAACTAAGTAGCTGTGAAAAGTAGACATGAAGATGAGTTGAAACCAGATTATCCTGGATTCAGGTCACACCTCAACCTTTTACTGGCTGCCTGATTTTAATTTCTCTGTGTCTCAGATTCCTGATGCATAAAGTAGGATTGATAACAGTACTTCCATTATAGGACTACGGTGAGAATGAATTGGGATAATTCTTAGAATGATATGGGACATATTTAGAGATTGTCAAAAGCGAAAAACTATTGTTTTTAAAAATTAATATTTAGGAACACTGTTCAGATGAAATGCAGTGGAAAAAATAACAAATATTTACAAATTGCACTCTATATTTTATATTTAAGTTTATGGAAAGTTGAGTAGTAAAACTCAAGTCAGAAAATTAACATAAATGCCAGTGATTTGATATGTACATTGAAATATCTGTGTTTTAAATCTGGGTATATATTTGTCTTTATTCCACTGATCTATGTATTTAAAAATACCTTCTTCAGATGTCTGCATGTACATAATGCATATTTTATTTTACAAAAATCATTTAATTAACTTATAATTAACTTGTTTTACTTGCAAAATATGATAATTGAGTGAATGATGAATTATATTTATTTATATATTGATTTAAAATTTAATTAACTTGGTTTGGTCCAAGAATACTCTATCATACCTGAGTACAGTAGAAGTTGATGCAAGCTTGATGATCAGCTCTTCCAAGTGCAGAAGGATAAAAGAGAACAGGTAATTCTGTGGTGGAGTGAGGAGATATGATCAGCTGTGTAAATGGAAAAAGCAAAGGGGGAACAAAAATTAATACCCAATTGGCTTGAGTTGGTATCTTTGTGTACTAGCTATATGCAGGGTCGATGTTTGTGTGATTAATGTGTTGTCTTGCACACATTATCTGTTCTCAGTATGCCTGCTCCTTGAATATTGTTCAAAGGGCCCATGTTAAACCGTGTTTGGGGGTGATCACATCATGTTCTTATCCAAGATAATCACCACTTGGAGGACTCATTCTGTACAAGGAAGTCAGGGTTAATTTTTAAAGCTCAGTTCGAACCTTCAATAAAAGACATATACACTTTATGTAAGATCCCATAGCATATTGCCCATCCCAAGGTACATGTCAAACCACCTGTAACTTAATTTGTTACTTTTGTTCATTTCAAAAGAAATGAACTGTTTCTAAGCAAAGGTGTAAGACATGCTTCTTTAATGTGCAAGGAAATTTTCCTCTTCCTCCTACACATTCAAGGTGTGACCTGCTAGGATAACTTGAGTCTGTACAGTATTAGTTTAAGTTACTTCTTTAGAGACTGTGAAAGAAGCCAGTGACTCCAACACAATATAATAAGGGCTTGAGTATATTATGTAATCAAAATGCTACACTGGAAATAATTTAATTTGAAGATAAACACTTACAAAATGATAGCATGAGTGGCACATGTATGAAAAGGAAGTCTATTATTTTACACTAATATATTTTGCCAGAAAAACTTTGAAAAGGCAAAATTACAATTAAGCAGTATCTTTCAATCCTTCTTGAATACAGCAGTTGATGCCCAATAAACTGTGATAATTATTTATGAAATGCAAATGCAAACTAAATTTTATATTTAGAACACAGTCACCTGTTTATTACACAATTGTAGCTTATCTACATCTAATATTTTTATCTCAGGCTGGCTTGCTCTCTGATATCTTGAATGTTTCAGGATTATCAGTTAATATACACTTTAGGATTATTAATTAATTTCACTGTCAGACTTAGCAAAAATAATAAGTAAAATTGCATTTTATATAGTCTTTCAACTTAGAAAATTTGGAAAAATAGTTTATTCTCTCCATGGATATAAATAGATGGATATTTCTCTCTATATATTTTTCATTTATTATCATTATAATTAATGTGTGCTCCTATTTGTTTTCTAAAATGTGATAGTATTTTTCTCATAAATAGCTTTTTGAGTTGTTTTCTAATATTAGAGTTAATTGCATATTCAGTGCTCAATAATGTTTGATAAATGAATAGAAGAATTAATGGACTAGAAAGCCATGGTTGGAAATGTTAAAACAGAGTTTATATTCTTGATTATGTAATGTAACTTTGGATGTGCAAAATATTACATTTATTTTCCCTTGGACCACAGATTAGACTGTTCTCTAAAAGTAGAGATATAAAGGATACAAAAACACCACTTTCTAATGAGGAATTTCAGTAATATATAAATTATATCCTGAATATCAGACTTCATATAATTTATGGAAAAATGTGGTATTGAATGATATAATAATGTGTGTACACTTTAATATACGCTTTCTAAGATTAAAGCATATACACCAATTTTAGCAATATAGTAATTAGTGATTTCTAATTTGACATATTATGATAGCTAAGAACTACTTTTATATCATTACATAAGTTGGCAACCAGTAACTGACAAGAGACAGATGTTAAGATATAAATAAAGAAATCAAAGTGTAGATTTGTTAAACAATCGTTAAACAACAAATAGTAAAAGCCTTTATTTAAATACTATATCTACTAGCAGGGCTTCATGATTTACTTTGAAGTCCCTTGATAAAAACAGTCTATTGTAATTATCATTTTGATGGTTACCTGAAAGTATGACACTCACTGCAAATAAATGGTGTCCTATGCTTTAGAAACAGAGATAGTCATGCTAAACCTTAGGATCTTATTTTGTAACTTGCAGGAAGGAGAAGAGTGATTTAGTATCATTGACTGGACCTAGCCTCTGCCAGGATCTAAGAATGAGAAAGTTGGGCAGAGAAAGAAGCAGAGAGGGCTAGAGTTGTCAGCATTGTCTCAAAGTGTGTGTCTGTGTCAGGGGTGAGGAATGGGGGATGGGCAAGAACTCAGGAAAGGCTAGAAAACAACTGGTCCCTTGGAACCCTGGCAACATATAATGACAATAGAGTTAATAATCATAATACTGGAAACTATTACAAAAACCGATTACTAAAATGGTGAGAAAGAAAACGCAACCAATTTATTAGAATGAAGTAATCATGAGCATGATTCTAGCATATATAATTTTAAAAATTTATATTAACATGATATTGTTTTGTAGATAAATTAAAATTCAAGGGGAGAAGTATATAAAAGAAAATCCTTTTTTTTTTTTTTGATTACTTTTGGAGACAGAGTCTCGTTCTATCGTCCAGGATGGAGGGCAGTGGCACGATCTCAGCTCACTGCAACCGCTGCAACCTGGGTTCAAGTGATTCTCATTCCTCAGCCTCCCGAGTAGCTGGGATTTCAGGCACGTGACACCACGTCTGGCTAATTTTTGTATTTTTAGTAGAGACGGGGTTTTGCCATGTTGGGCAGGCTGGTCTCAAACTCCTGGCCTCAAGTGATCTGCCCGCCTCAGCCTCCCAAAGTGCTGGGATTACAGGCATGAGCCACCCCGCTGGGCCTATAAAATTCAATTCTTAAATTTTAGAAATTTAAATCCTTAGTAATAATTCAAGTGATAATACTCCACCAGTGTCCCAAAATCAGAATTGGAAAATGATCTAGCAGCAGTAAATTTCATGGCTCTCTGAATTTACTTACTTGTGATTTTCTGTTAATATCCAGGACAAAATTTTCAGGATTACTGTTTGTTACTTGCAATTTTAAGGTTTCATGCGTACAATTAACTAAAGGAATGATCTGAGTGACATGCCTAGGAGAAAAAAAAAGCTAGTAAAGTTGCTGGTATTCATAAACTTATTTAGTGTTAATTCCATAAACTTGATGACCCCTAGGATTAAAATATGTCACCCCATAAGATATATTGAAGTCTTAATTCCTAGTACTTCAGAATGTGATATTATCTGGAAATAGAGTCACTGCATATGTAACTAGTTAAGATAACGTCTTACTGGAATAAGACAGGCCCTTAATCCAGTATGACTGGTGTCTTTGTAAATAGAATCATGTGAAGATACACAGAAGATGGCCATATAACAGTGGAAGTAGAGATTAGAGTGATGTATCTCAAGTCACAGAAAGCCAAACGTTGCTGGCAAGCAGAAGAAGCTAAAAAAGACCAGGCACAGTGGCTCATGCCTGTAATCCCAATGCTTTGGGAAGCTGAGTCTGGAGGGTCACTTGAGGCCAGGAGTTTAAGACAAGCCTGAGCAATACAGTAAGAACCTGTCTCTACAAAAAATTTAAAAAATAGCCAGGCATGGTAGCTTGCCTGTAGTCCTACATACTTGGGAGGCTGAGGCAGGAGGATCGCTCTAGCCCAGGTGTTTGAGGCTGCAGTGAGCCATGATTGCACCACTGCGCTCCAGCCTCAGTGACAGAGCAAGACCCTGTCTCTAAAACATAGAAAAAAAGAAGAAGAAGAAGTAGAAGCTAAAAGAGGCAAGGAATTATCCCTTACAGGTTTCAGAAGGAGCATGGTCATGGTGAACCCTTGATTTTAAACTTCTAGCCTCAGAACTGTGAGACAATACATTTTTGTGGTCTTAAGCCACCCAGTTTATGATGCCTGTAATGGCAACCCTAGGAAGCTAATATAATGACTTCTTTTAGTTTCAAACTCAAAATAATTATGTATGAACTAATGACATTTTAATCCTTGGTTCTCTATTTTTGAGACCTAATGTTATCCCATATTAGATATTAGAATATATTCCAGTTTTAGGAATAATGTTTACTTATTGTTTTATAATGCTAAATCCAGCCAAAAAAGCTAACACAGTCTAGTCGTAATAACAGAGTAATAAATGCACGAAGTTTTCATTGAGAACATTAACAAGATCCAAATTGATGATGAGTAAATGCCCAAAATATGTGACTATTTATGCTCTAAACAAATAATAAATGAGTGTTCATAATTCTCAACTATCAATTCTAATGGTTTTTAATGTACAGCATCCAGCTTGTCATCTTCATTCTTTCTGTAAAGTATAACATAATAACATAATTTTATCTATGTACAGTTTTTCATATCTCTTTACTGTTTCTTGCTTACAATATAGAGTAAGATTAAAATATTTAGGTAGCAAATCTGTAATAAAAAGAATGGAATCATCACCATACATATATTGTTTTTCACAATGTCATGGCCTTGTGACAGAGGAAAATTAGGTAATATGTGCTGAGCAGAATTCAGTTCATAAATTCAAATTATATAATTCAAATAAAGCACCATTTTCTTGTTTTTATATAAAGTATATGTATAAAATGATTCACCTTAAAAAGAACATTATATGTCAGTTTTGTGATTCTAGACTACAAATTTAACAAGTCTCTGTAAATCATGAATTTGTTCTTTCACCAGGGACATATGAAGAAATTCAATGAAAATAACCAAAACTTCATTAATTATAGTGAATAAAATACACTAAAAATCATGACAGATTTCCCATCATTTTTTGGTAAGCATCTGCTTCGTATATTACCAATTTCCCAAGTTTTCTCATAAACAATACCTTAGAAAAATAGGAATAAAATATTTTCATACTAGATATCTATGCTACTGTAAGAAAAAAATTTCAAATGTCATTGTTTTGGCTAAAGAGCTGGTACTGGAAGAATGCAACACTCTTTTGATGTGATAAGGGAGAGAAATTAGTTAAAAGGCACTAATTTGCTCACTACGGTGTATACTCTTTAAAAGTAGGGATTATGCCTTGTTTACCCCTATTTACCAGCACCAAACTTGATAAATAGTAGGAACTCAACTACCTAAATAGGAATGGTCATATCTCAAGGGATCACGGCATTAACCCACTGACCAAATGTTCACAGTTGTTCATTGCTTACCTCTGCTTCACCTTGAGGAAAGTTTGCCAGGTTTCTCTCCTTCCCACCAGCCCCTGAACTCTGCTTGTCCCTAAGCCTAAACAAGCATGCAGACACACAAAGTAACATGACCCTTTGTCAGCTTCTCCTGGGAATTAGCTGACCACAGTAAAACTCTTCCTGTTAGACATCACTGGCCATTTTCCCTTGCTTGTCCAGCTTTCCCTCCAAAGATTCTGTCTATATCTGCTTGACCTTCCTTTACTTTATAAAAGATGAACTTTTTTCTGTTTGATTTTGTAAACCCTTGTAGACTTCTAAGATGGGAGTCTTTCCCTATTGCAATGGTCCCTTTTTATCCCTTGTAATAATCCTTTTGAATAACACTCTTTCCTTGCTAAGTCCTGATTTGTTTTTATTTGACAAGTTTTCCACAGGGTAGTTTACATATCAAACCTTCCCTAGGGGAAAAAAAATCAATGACTAAAGATATATTTATTCTTTATTTTAGAAACTGAATGCATTATAACAACATTGTAATAGATTAACTATTTTTCTTGCAAGCAATAACTTTATCTATTAAGTAGAACTTACTTGCCAAGGTCGCACTGTATTTCTGGCATTGTGGTTGGTTTTGGTAATTCAATAGTTAACTTCAGTAAATACCAGAACTCTTCAGCCATTTCAGGCTGAAAAATAATGCTGGTGGAGAGAAATACACAAAATTTTGTCAGCAGTTTTAGTTTGTGTAATAAATTGGGCAGAAGTAGTATACCCCAAACTAGTATAAATAGTTGGTTTTAAATACAACATTTGACAACTACTCTGTAACACATACTACTCTTTTTGTAGATGTATTTTTAATTCTTCATTTTTGGTTGAGAAAATCACTTCATTATTCAAGAAAAGCAGTGTTGTTGTCATTAATATCTGTTTAATAAATGCCTGTTGGATCAATAAAAATGTTTAAACATGAGTATTTTAAATATCTTGCAGAAGGTGGAACAGTAAAAGCCCTGCTTTTTAACTGTGACTAAGTCAAATTTAGTTTTAGTTGAATGCATGTGCATTTTCATGTGAATGCTATCAAGTGACATATAGCTCTAGAGAACTTCCTTTATGATCAGCACATCCTCAACTCCCAGGGAAGCAGAGCTTGTGACAGTCTAAACAAGTATAACTGGGGACCGGACGTGGTGGCTCATGCCTGTAATCCCAGCACTTTGGGAGGCCGAGGCAGGCGGATCACGAGGTCAGGAGTTCGAGACCAGCCTGGCCAATATGGTGGAACCCCCGTCTCCATTAAAACACAGAAAATTAGCTGGGTGTAGTGGCGGTCACCTGTAATCCCGGCTATTTGGGAGGCTGAGGCAGGAGAATCGCTTGAATCTGGGAGGCAGAGGTTGCAGTGAGCTGAGATCACGCCACTGCACTCTAGCGTGGGTGACAGAGTGAGACTCTGTCTCAAAAAAAAAAAAATAAGTATAACTGGGATGGTATCTCAGCTCTGTCATCTTTTATTTGTGCAGTCTTGAAAAAGTCACTTAACTTTTTGAGCTTCAATTTTCTCATTTATAAAATAGGAGGAATCAATCTTACCTCTTACAGTTACTATGAGAATTTTATGTTTATATATGTAAAATACACGCCCCAATGATGATAACAGAGTAGGCAGACAGTAAGTATTAGCCAAAAATTTTTTTAATGTATGCTGATAAAGAAAATTCAAGATTCAGTATATGTTCACAAAGCTTGTGCAGTCATATTGGGGCAAAAAGACCAGCCCATATTTCTAATAATAATTTTTTCAGAATAGTATCTTTCATGTTATATTCTTATTTTCATGCTTCGCAGAATAATAATTTTTGTCCTTTAAAATTTCACAGATGTATTCATTTATTTACTGACTCATTAAAATAACAATTACTGGTTTCTATTGTAGGATACTGTACTTGAAGCACCAATAAGAGTTATTCTGAAGGATGTTACATTAAATAAAATATGCCAGGCACAGAAAGACAAATTTCACTTATATGCAGAATTTTTAAAAATTGAACTCAGAAGCAGAAAGTATAATGATTATTGTTACCAGGCGCTGGGAGGTGGAGGGGACACAAACTTTGGGGAGAGACTGGTCAATGGATGCAAAATTTCAGTTAGCAGAAATAAGTTCAAGATATGTATTGTAGGACATTATGACTGTAATTAATTACTTTAATTCCTTTATGTCCTCCAAGTGAATTATTTGTATTTAAGAAGAAAAATATATAAGTTAATTTTCCTCAAGAAAATTGAAAGTTTAATCCCTAGTCCTCATGCAACTGTTTTCATTTGTTCAGTTTTTGCATCCATAAAGATTTACTTAGTAAAAAGTGAAGTGAAAGGGGATAAAAGGAGAAATGTAGAAATTATTTAATTTGATATTCTGATAAATACTATTTTTGCACTGAAGCAAGCAAAAGCTAACTGTAAGTCAGTACATTTTTTCAGGGACTAGTATTAAACAAAGTTAAAACTATGAGCAAGTGTAATTTTAATGATTATAGTATAAGAAAAAATAAATTTTAAAGGTTAATTTCTAAGGATCAACAATGAAATATAATGCCACACTCAAACCATACCTTTCATCGCTGTAGCCTGTAGTTGCTGGAGAATACCATACAATATATTTGGTGCACTGTAGTGGACTCAGGATAATTTCATTATCCCCATTAAGGGCAGCACTCGTTAACTGCACCTCTAAGTGAAGACCTCTATCTTTTGGATTAGAGAGAGGTATTTCAATGCAAGTGCTGTCCTAGAATTATACAACAAATATGTAATCAACTTTTAGTGTCAGCATGGAGTCATTATACTATGAAAGGAAATGTAAAGGAAATTATTACATAATATAAGGCCATTTGTTTTATTTTTTTACCTTGATACACTATTGAATATATCTCACTAGCTTTGAATCTCTTATATGTTTTCTTTCATTAGCCTTGATAAATTGTAACCTTATTTTTTTTCAACAGCAAATACCACACAGAGATCCATGTAACTAAATGGATGAAAACTATTTGTAAAATTACATTTAAAATATATTTTTCACTGGTATCATTATTTCTATGAGGTCCATTTTTCAGTGTTTACTCTAGGAATGGTACTCAAACTTTATTGCACATAAGAATCACCAGCAGAGTCTGCTAAAAGACAGATTTTTTTTTCTTTTATTATTATACTTTAAGTTTTAGGGTACATGTGCACATTGTGCAGGTTAGTTACATATGTATACATGTGCCACGCTGGTGCGCTGCACCCACTAACTCGTCATCTAGCATTAGGTATATTTCCCAATGCTATCCCTCCCCCCTCCCCCCACCCCACAACAGTCCCCAGAGTGTGATATTCCCCTTCCTGTGTCCATGTGATCTCATTGTTCCATTCCCACCTATGAGTGAGAACATGCGGTGTTTGGTTTTTTGTTCTTGCGATAGTTTACTGAGAATGATGATTTCCAATTTCATCCATGTCCCTACAAAGGACATGAACTCATCGTTTTTTATGGCTGCATAGTATTCCATGGTGTATATGTGCCACATTTTCTTAATCCAGTCTATCATTGTTGGACATTTGGGTTGGTTCCAAGTCTTTGCTATTGTGAATAGTGCCGCAATAAACATACATGTGCATGTGTCTTTATAGCAGCATGATTTATAGTCCTTTGGGTATATACCCAGTAATGGGATGGCTGGGTCAAATGGTATTTCTAGTTCTAGATCCCTGAGGAATCGCCACACTGACTTCCACAATGGTTGGACTAGTTTACAGTCCCACCAACAGTGTAAAAGACAGATTTTTATCCACCTCTCCCCGACAGCCTTTCTTCATCCCAGAGATTCAGTAGCTCTGGGATGGGGTCTGAAATTTATATTTCTAAAAAGTTTCCACATGATGCTGCTGCTGCTGCTGATCCAAAGGAAACACTTAAAGTAGCAACGTATCTTAGCATCAAGTAGCAGGGACAATCTAAACTAAAAAGTCAAATTATGTTGATGATACATCTTTCTGTTTAGATTTCTTCCTTCTGTTCTTGTTCGTCCTGTCCTTCCCCCAAGGTACATTGTCTTAGCCCTGGAAGGCACTCTTTAAGTTCTAAGATATTTCCTGATCCTCATACTGACCCATCCTGGCTAATGACTTATAAAGCATCCCATTTCAGCCATGATCTCCACTACGTCAAAAGCTATAATTGAAGCAAATGTAGTAAAGATAATTAGTAGACAGGACACATCTCAATTTTAACAAATTCCAGTTGCCTAAATGTTTTAACCTAAAGAAATGGAGAAGGTTGAGCATTTCAATTATAAATCAAAGCTTGGTAATAAACGTACTTTAGAACATGGAGCTGTTATGAAATTTATCAAATCATGTTACAGGGGTGACAAAAAATTCTTACTAAGCTTCTGGGAACATATCTTCAAGGCAGATATTACAGCTTTGTCTATGGCTGTTTCAGAGGACATAGCTCAGAATATTTGCCTGATCACCTCTAATAAATAAATGAGTTGGAAGGATGCTACATTTTAGAGGAATGGAAACAACATTTAGTGTGGTGAACAACATCTGGTGAAGAAAGATGGAAACTAAGAATATATACAAATTAACAATTAGATTAGAGCAGATATCACTTATTAGAAATCAGTGTTGATTATAAATGCAATGAAAAATAGTCTTCTACAATGGTTTCAGGAGACATTAGAATTATGAATTCTTAAAATAAGTGGGCATTTAAACTTCTACAGCAAAATATTCAACGCTTATAATTATAAAGAAGGAAAAATAAAAGTGTAAAATGTAAAATACTGAACAGTGACTAATTTCCTGGGTAACCTGGCATATTTTATAAAGTTGATAGAGGACTTGGCCACTAAATAATTTCCAATGGTCAAAAATAACAACCACTAGAAAAAAGGGTATGCCAAGGTAACACATACTATCAACCCAATATGAGCCTAGAGATTTTACTCAGGGCATAAGACAGAAGATGGAAATGACACATTTGGCCTAGACATTTGTCCTGGTCTACTACTCAGACATTATTCAGAGAAGATCAGTGTCCGTTCAACAGAATGTTATAGCCTGTCATAGAAGTAAAAATGCTAGAATCTAAACCACTGAGTTTCAAAATGTTTTAACCACAACCCACAATAATTTGTTTTATATCACAATATGGTTCACATACGCATATCACAAAAGTTTTACAAAACAATCCCTGCATTTACCACATGTAATATTTTCTGATACTTTCTACTACCTTTTATTCTATTCTATTTCCCACTCACATGTTGAGCCACTCACATGTTGTGACCTACACATTAAATTTAGATTTAGATTCTGGTCTAAAGAGGAATAAATATTGGAATATAGAACTACTTGAAGTCTTATTACATATATAAGTCTTGAAAACAAAATGAAACAAAATCACATTAAACCTACTATTTTCTCTGTAAACTACAACCTATCTAACAAGACCATGCTCTCGTGGTACAAAAGTGTCATAATATTCTACAGTTGGCCAGATCTTAAGAGTGGGAGATACGGATGGTGTCTATGGAGTACTTAAATCACAGCTCCTCCTTGGCATCCTTGCAATATCCATGGCAAATACTATTAACTGATCATTTCACTCTTATTCAGTAGATCTGGACACATCCTCAAAATCCTTTACAGAGCAGCCTTCCAGAGAGCAATTGTTGAATGCTTAGCGCTACCAGTACTGCAATCTCTTGAAAATCTCTGGAATCAAATTATTCAGAGTTTTGAAAATAGCAAGACTCAATAGAAATAAATGTTTCACTATAGTCAAAAGCTTTAAGTTTCTAATTAACTGTACTATATTTCTAGGATGGTAGAAAGTATCTCAAATGTAACTATAATATTACAAAAATGATTTCTAAATTACATTATTGTTTGGATATTATTTTCTTCTAGGTTTAAACAGAAAAAAATCTTAAATGACACCTTTAACATAATGAATAATTTGTATTTTAAATATCCACCTGCCAAAATATCTTCAAAATTTTAGGGAAGATTACTTTTCTAAATATCAATATTTCTTAAGGTTGTAAAATTACATTTTTAAAGTATTTGATATGTTCACTAAGTTAAAGAGAAGAAACTTATGTTATCCATCATTTTATAAGACGATCAAAATTGATGTTTATTCTTGAAACAACTTTCTTAGGTTAGCTATATGATTACAGAAATGCATAACCATTTTGAGAAAATAACATACAAAATAAAACATTAAGATTATATTTAAAACAAGATTAATTGTTTTGGCTAAGTTATCCTGCCACCTCCCATTCCATTTTATTTTATAAAGAACTCTTACTAAATGAGAAGTACACAGTCCACTGAATTCTGTGAATACGCTATAAAAACGTTTGAAATACTTGGTTGGTGTCTGTTTTGCAAATGGCATATTCCTCCACTTTCATGAGTAGGCTTTTAAAGTTAATTTGTGTTCAGAATTAAACATAAATCAGTTTTGACTGATTTTTTCTTGAAACTCAAGTAAAACAGTAATGGCTGAACATTACATGATGACTTCTAAAGCCTTCTTTCATCTTCACATGCGCTCTTTTCGGTTTAATGATGGAAAGCATTATTTTATAAGGTATCCCAATATTTTTTCTGGCTGGTACTTAGAAATATTGTGGCAAACATAATGGCTGTTTAAAGAAATTGCTTCCATTTCTCAGACTCCTTTACAAGAGGACTAAACAATGCATATTTAATCCCGTGAAATACAAGCAAAAATTTTAAAACAGAAAAGACATTCACAAGATGCTGAAATTGAAAATAATTAAAACATTTAACCACTCATGTAGAAGAGGAATACTCTTTTAAAATATATAAAAACAGTTGTATTGAATTTTGCAAATTATAAAGCTTTTCAGAGGAAGTTTGAATACCTACACACTTTTAAAACAAATATTAGATATTTTCAGCATTTATATATATATTTATACACATACATATTTATTTATTTTTTATTTTCATTTTTATTTTATTTTTTAGATGGAGTCTCACTCTGTCGCCCAGGCTGGAGTGCAGTGGCATGATCTCGGCTCACTGCAAGCTCCGCCTCCTGGGTTCAGGCCATTCTCCTGCCTCAGCCTCCCGAGTAGCTGGGACTACAGGCGCCTGCCACCATGCCTGGCTAATTTTTTTTGTATTTTTAGTAGAGACGGGGTTTCACCGTGTTAGCCAGGATGGTCTCGACCTCCTGACCTCCTGATCGGCCTGCCTCGGTCTCCCAAACTGCTGGCTCCCAGTGCCAGAAGAGTCTAATTTTGAGGTATTTATAGAAATCTCAAATCAATCAACACTTTCTTCTCACATGGCAATTGAAGTCTTCTCCTGATTCTTTCTGGCACCTCATCCTCACCCTCAGGCCTGTCTGGGAATTTTGCACACTGCCTGTGAGGAAGGAGGTAAACATGTCCTGCTCTTTTCAACCCTCTGCTCCAGCTTCCTCTCTTATGATCATGGTGCTGACGTGGCTGGCTCTTTCAGGTTGCAGGATGAAATGAGATGACAGGTAGAAGAACAATACCCACTTACTTAATTGGTGCTACCTGATCTTATCCAGGTGACTATATAAGTTCCTTTTGCCTTCTTCTATCTTGAATTACCCTCATGTAGACTCTCCTGGAGTCTTCTCACCCTAGAAGAATGTTTCTTGCTCTGGGTCCTTTCAAATAAGCTCAAGCTTAGCCTTATTTCATTATGTCAAATTCACTTTGGCCCACTACATCTTGACTTGTGCCGATGAAAGTGCATCTTGCTCTCACTCTAACCACCTTCCCTCCCTCTGTGGTCCATTCTGTTGGTAGGAACTCACCAAGAGCCAGGGGCATTAAACTATCAGCTTCCCCTCCTTAAAGAAGACACTCCCACTGTCTTTTTGTTCTGGCCATCACAGATATGAGCTGTAAATGGGTGATGGGCTAAAGATTCCTCCCCTCCCTTGATGTGCCAGAAACATCATGTCTCCATTAAAATCCTATGTTCTCCTTTCTTGGCATGAAGATGTCACTTGGCAGTGGCTGTCCAACTAGAGATTCCATTTCCCAGACCCTCTTTCACCTGGGCATGGCTGTGTCACTAGTTTTCTCCAATTGTATGTGAGTGAAAGTGATGTGTCACCTGTGTGTCAAGGCCATTAAAACTATTGGAAATTCTCTTCTCTCTGCTTTCTTTTTCTCCAGCTATACGTAGGAACCTCTGAGTCCCTAAAAAGGAAGGAATCACAAGATGGAACGAGCCTTGCTCCCTGAATCACAACACAGAGTATGCCACCCACCAACCAGGGACACATTCACTAGAATGTTACAATTGTTAAAAACTTTTACTGTGTTTAGCCATTGCAAATTTAGGGTTTATTTGCTGTATCAGCTAGATATACTCTGAATACTATATTTAGAGAGTCTTAAATAAACAGGACAGCAACCACTTTCATAATATGGAAATATAATTATCTACAGTTCCCAGGTTTGTGACTTCATTTGAAAATCCAGGATAAAAGGAGAACTTCCCAGGAAACATCCTATTTCAGTTATTTTATTCGTTTTCTAACTCCACTAGAATGGTAGCTCCATGCAAATAGGGGCCTTGCTTGTATTGTTCATCACTGTTCCTTAGCATCTAGAACAGTGGCAGGAATATCAGAGATACCCAGTAAATACTCATTAGAAAATAAAATGTGCAATTTATGAGATGATTTAGTGTTTGTGTATATGTATATACATATTATACATTATATATTATGTATTACATATTGTACATTACATATTACATATTATATATAATTATTGATATGTCTGATATTTTGGATAATCACAACTTTTAACTAAATAATAAAGCAACTTTGTAAAAATCTAACTCAAAAGGAATTTAAAAGTCTCCAGTTAATTCAGCCTGCCTCCTTACTTGAAAGTTACAGGGTGAAGACAGCAGTTTCAGATGAGAGAAAGACTTTATTGCCTTATCACTTTGTCACTTGGTTGCCAGTTCATACCTACTCTAAGAGGAAAAATGTAATTCACTGAGTGCAATAAACACTTCATCATTTCCTGCTTGGTCAGAATAAATAAAGATTATTTACTTCCACATAACCACTTAATTGAGTCAATGACAATTCAATATGCACTAGCATGAAGTATTTTCACCATACCATCTCACGGAAGATAATCACAAGTTCATTATAAAAGGATTATTTCTGAGGAGAAAACATACAATAATATTAAGTAAGGCATATTATTGAGGAAATCTTCAATTTTAATTTTATTCAATTTGAAAACATTATCAAGTCAGTAAACAAACAACTAATGGGTATTTTGAAAGTATCATGTAATTGAGAGGAAGTGATCATTATAATCTGGGTCAATAATTTTCCTAAATTGAAAAGTCAGAACTCACATAAACCACGTAGACAGCTATATTTAGAAACACCATCGTCATTCCTTTGCTATTTCCATCTGTACAACACTGTATCTAATGATGTCATGCCTTATACCCACCCCAATCCCCAATCCTCCACCATATGACTTGAAATGTATAGAATGCTGAGATGCAATCAAGGTGGTTTGCTAATGCCAGACTGGGGGACATGTATGTTGAAGATGCATTAATAGGCACCTGGGAGTTGTGAAAAAGCCAGAAAACACTGGAAGAGCCTAAAGTTTATTAATTTGTATTCAGACACACCCCATAACCTTGAGAGAGAAAAGAAAACTATTAAAAATAGAAATATTTCTAATTGCAAGGACCGATCCCTAGGAAGTAACCTCCTGCTTAACTGTTTAAGATAGTATTCCACCTCCCCCGCCGTATATGTGTGTATGTACTCTCTATGTATTTATTCTCTACGTATATATATGTAAGTATACATATATATGTATATGCATGTGTGTGAATTATTAAAATGCTAACTCTGAATGACCATGTAGGCCAGCCATTTTGAAGAGTGTTTGTCACGAGTTAAGCAAACAGTGCTTAGATACATTACACATAATTTAATAATCGTGGGGTATGGGGTACCCCAGGGGGTAATTCTTGACACAGTGAGTGGGTATTTGCCATGTTTTTTTTTTTTTGCATGTCAGGTGTTTGAACTTGCATAAATGAATCCAATGTCATGTTCAGTCAATTCTTCTTCATCTGCATTTACGGAAGAAGGCAGAGGCATGAATAGTTCATAATGACAGAGTAGCCAAAAATTGTTTTATTTTGGAATGTTTTGTGAACTTTAATTGAAATAATGGTCTTTCAGATAGCTGTGATGTTGATTTCAACTAATTAATATACTCCTGACTTAAAGACCTACACGAGAAGGAAGGACAATTATAATTTTCTTACCTGACTTATTCCTTTCTATCCCCTAAACACTACTTCACTCAGAAATACAGAGATATCTCAAAACAATTATAATTTTTCATCTCAAAATTTCCAAGGTACAATATGAGTTTTAGAACAACTTCTTAACTCATTATGTAAAATTTGAACTTGCCCACAAAATCACAAATTAGATTGTTTCCATCAGAGCTAATGCTAGCTTTTCCTCATCAGGTACAATAGGCTGATAGTTTGCCATATTAACCCAGGTCGCCTCACTCCATTACCTTCACCTAATTTCCAATGCTAAAGCTTTCTAAGCTCACTGCACACTGGGTGGGGTTGCTATACCCTGAATGCAAGGAAAAGAAAGTTCATCTATTTTTTCCAACATACTCTTGTTTTAGATATTTTATTTTATTTTGTTTTGATTCTATTGTTCTGATACAAACCATAGTTTTTGGAGAAAATCTGCCTAGCCAGTGTTAATAACCAATAAAGAATAAATTCAGTTTTCCTCAGCTGGTGGTGGCGACAGACAGAAAACACACACTTTACTCAAGACTTAAACTTCCTCCTAAATTCCTGTCCTATCTCAGCTACTTTAGTGACTTTTCACTGGAATTTAGAAAGCCTTAAGGATGTTCTGCTGTGTCCTTTAGGGGCTACATGAAATTTGATGGGGAGAGCCCCTTGATATTCAATGACTAGCCAGTAAGACTTTTATATTGCTGATGTCAGGACAAGATGGTAAGGACCAAATTCCCTCCATCTCTGAACTTGGAGTCAGGATGCCCTCTAAGTTTCCTTTTAACCCCTCCATAACACCCAGGAGAACGGAGCATGAGAACACTGAGAAGGAGTTGAATCTGACCTGAGAGGAAACTGAAGCTGACTGAGTTTACCAGAAAGTAAAGACAAACCTAAGTTCAGCTTCTAAAATCAGCTGTTTATCACACTCTCTGTTTTTAAGAGTAAATAGCTAAATCTCTATTTCCATGTCATTTCTGCAAATCACACTGGTTAACATCGTATCTAACCAGAACAGCATTGTTGGTAATTATGAACAAAGAGTGTCAGTAGAATTCATTATGACTACCTAGATACTCTGTAAATACAGGTCAGCATTCTTGCTTTAACTTGGAATAAACATTTCCTGAAAAGCTTTGTTTGTTGAAAATTCTTATACAGAGTCATTACTGGAAAAGTTGTATGTGTGAAAACTAGAAAAGGAATCAGCCTTCAGAGCACAGAGCTTGGCCAGCATAGATGACTTTGATGAAAAAATAAAAAGAACTAAGGTGCGGGGGCGAGGGGCGGGGAGGAGGAAGAGAAGAGGGAGGGAGGAAGAGAGGGTGTGGAGGGAGAATGGGACGACTGGGGGAGACTGAGAGAGAAAGAGAGAATAAAGGCACCCTTCCTTTTGGCAGAGCACCTTATTTGGACAGCAGACCCTCCCCCACACACAACCTTTTCCCTTTAATTAGGCACTTCAGTGAAGCACAGACAGTTGACAATTTAACTCTAGGCACGGCCTTGAGTCCACTCTCGGTTGAAGTGAAAGTGGCTAATTATTGCTGATCTTTAAAGCCACAGACATTATGTACAAAATCAATTCAGAATTTAGAAATAAGTAAATGAATCAGAAAATATTCTGGCAATTAATGTAGATATTAAATCCAAGTATATTAGCTCTATAATTTTAGGAAGAACATTATATCTTTTGGGAGCCAACAAGTGCTTTAAAATTTTTAAAAATAGAGTATAGGCAGATTAGAGATGAGATTTTATCATAATTCTAACTTTTATAGAATATTTTTTATATGAGTGTTTTCAACATTAATCAAAATAGCCTCCCTAGCTACATCTTCATTTTTTGTATTTAACTCAAATTAGACCATGAGATATTTTTTCCGGATTAAAAAATAGTATTTAAGAATTTTTTACAACTTAGGATAAATTAAAGGCAGAATGCTAATTTTGCTTCCTCAACATTTCATGAGGAAGAAAAATTTCAATGTCATGGACAACACTTATGATATATGATCTTTCCTATAGAAAAATAAAGTATACAAAGTATGAAAGAGGCCCGGGTGCGGTGGCTCACGCTTGTAATCCCAGCACTTTGGGAGGCTGAGGCGGGGGGGCAGATCATCTGAGGTCGGGAGTTCAAGACCAGCCTGACCGACATGGAGAAACCCCATCTCTACTAAAAACACAAAATTAGCTGGCCATGATGGCACATGCCTGTAATCCCAGCTACTCAGGAGGCCGAGGCAGGAGAATCGCTTGAACCCGGGAGGCGGATGTTGTGGTGAGCCAAGATCATGCCATTACACTCCAGCCTGAGCAACAAGAGCAAAACCCCATCAAAAAAAAAAAAAAAAAAAAGGATGAAAGAAGAAAATACATTGAAAACAGTAACTCAAAATATATTTTTGAATTTATGGAGGCTAAAACTAAAAACTTTTTAAAAATGGTTGGCAACTCACATGTGTTTTTTAAATTTTTATTTTGTTTACTAGAGACAAAGTCTCACTATGTTGCCCAGGCTGGTCTCAAACTCCCGAGCTCAAGCAAGCCTACCACCTTGGCTTCCCAAAGTGCTGGGATTACAGGCATAAGCCACCGCACCTGGTCTCACTTGTGTTGTTTTGTATGGATGCTTTTATGTTTGACACCAAGAGGATTAACGGTGTTTTTAACTGTCCTTCTCTTTTGCTAGTTTGTGGAGAGATTTCTGGATCTCTTAATTAACAATATAGTGAATTTCATTGAAGGTTGTTTATAAATTAAAAGCTCAGAAAGAAATAAATGATCATGCAATTTTCACTGACAATGAAGTAAGTATTTTGAAGGCTATGGCTGTTTAAAATGTAAATTATATAAAGAGTTGCTCACACACTTAAGTTTTGTTTCCACAAAATATTTATAGCTCAGTGCTATATATTAGAGTTATTGAGTGTCAGTGGAAAGACAGCGGGTTATTGTCATCATTCTCCCATAGCCAAACTATATGACATACAAGAGATTTTTGAGATCAAACAAAATGGAACAGCAGCTATTACATGTTAAAATTTCCAAAGGAAATCCTAAATACTTTATACTAACAGAGAATGGACTACTAACAAGCAAGTATTATTTACTGAGAATGTAATCTGGTTTTGGAACCTGCAGCAAGAAATAACCAAATATATGTGTTTCAAGACTGTAAGTATTTCTTACATGAACCCTATTTTAGAGAGATTCTGATCAATCATTCATCTGTAGAAAAAATGTGGAAATTTGAGTTGAATGTAATAAAAACTGAGATGCAGATAAAAAAATAAGAGATGGCTTAGTATCTTGAGTGCACCATTGCCACATCTGGAGGTATAAAGTTTAAATAAAGTATTTCTCAAATGATTCATCTGAACAGAATATGCATTCAATAATATTAGGAAATAATATACAAGTGAGGACCACAATTTTAGTATACTTCTGAAAGTAGTTGGAAAGCATCTTCTTCAAATAATGGACAAAGGTTTCATTTGATGGCATTATTTAAAAGAGATCATACTATCTCTAGTAAATAAATCTTCATGTCTGAAAGTTAAAGAGGGAATAGATTTTTACCTTCGACAATTACGACTAGAAACGTGAGAAAACTTAATAATTTGGCAACATCACTAGCCACGATAGCCTAAGTTGGTAAACTTAGTTGAAAAAGATGTCCCTTCTCAACAAATCACAGTTAAATGTGAACATTTAATTAATACAGCAAACCTGCCTATGGTAACAAGGAAACTATCTAGCAGCTGTCATGTGTTAAGAAGTTTCATTCCTGCCTTATAACGTAAAACTACTCAATGAAAAGGGGACTCGATAATTGCGTTTTAATCTAAGTAGACCATGAAAAAATATCATTTAAGTATATTTATGAAATAACTATGCTAACTGTTCATAACGAATAATAAAAGCAAAAATGATAGCAATTAGAAATATATATGTGCGTAAGACGAGTTACACATATCCCACTGTGGTGCCAAAACAAAAAGAGGTTTAAATTGAAAACTTATAGGAAATCAGTACAAACTGAATTAGGATTACATTATAATATACATGGGGAGGGGCAAGTCCTTGATGAAAAATGAACAAGGGCCATTATTCAAAAGTACATTATTTATTAAAATAATATATTCCTGAAAGGGTATATGCAAATTTAATTTCATAAATGAAAACATATTTGAAATTTCTCATTCAAAGAGATAAGTAGTGGTTTTTTGGTTTTGGTTTTGGTTTTTTGTTTGTTTGTTTTTGCTTTTTGCTCAATCTTCTTAAATATGCACATAAAGTACCCTGATGGTGTGTATTTCTCAGCCTGTGTGACAGTCTTCACCTTTTAAGGTTGAGAGCTATAGAAATCTCAATTTCTATCAGTATTTTCTTGAAGGGCTAATAGCTCTTGCAGAAAAAAAAGGCACTTTATACACCACTTAATGAGAAAATGCAACAATTGACCATCTATAATTTATTTTAAAATTGTATTTACTTCTGTTTGTTTTGCATATTTTGTCATCTCTATTCCTATTTTAAGCATATAGTTAATAAGAAAGCCAATTTCTCCTTTTCTGAGGTGCTACATCATGCACTCAATTTTTTCAAAGCCTATTTAAATGTTTTTCTCTACGTCTTGATAAAGGGATACATTTTAATGTATATTTTAAAGTAACCTTTAAGGAAGATTTTACACTGCAGTGGTAACCAATTCACAGAAATAAGACATTTTCATTGAGTGAAATGATCCTACTGTCATATTAAATAGTTTTCCACTTAGAAGATAATGCTTTTGCAATCTATACTTGAGCACATTTCAAAATTTTAATCATTCATCTTCTATGCCTAAATGGAGATTTACCCAGAAATCAGGTGGGCAAATAATCAATTTGTAAATTTATAGTATTTTAAATCTTTTTTTTTTTTTACTTTCTATTTATTGGAACCAAAGTTCAAGATTCTAAGTAATCAATTCTATAAAGAAATCTATCCACATATTTAAAAATAAAAATAACATTTATTATTATCAATTTAAATATTTGAGTACTAACAATAAGGAAACTAAATTTAACTAAAACATTGTTAATAGCAATATTGTCCTCATGTTTCATTTAAAATAAGACTCTTAATATTTAACTTTATTAAATAATTTTTGACACAAATTTAGTAACATTTTAGTAATTCACATCAGACAAAATCTATTCCGAGTATTAATGGAAACCCCAAATGTATGCCAGTTGCTCCAAATATGTTTCCAAGTGAAAGGTCTGCTGTAGAAACCAGGAAAAAGCAATGCTGAAAGAGTCTAGTAGCACAATCCTGTTTTTATCATCTATGTGTGAACAAACATGTAGACTAAGGTTAAGTTTGCTCTAGTAACTCTTGAAACAGATAGAATGCTAATCAATGCAGTCACTATAAGATAACATATAACTAAAAGATGTTTTCCAAAAGCATTTAAAGTCCGTAGTACTAGATTTAAAAATAAAATTGCTATGATTGACTAATTTATCTTAATACAATCATCTGATACAGACCTTTTAAGGGATAGTAAATAATTTACTATACAACAAAAGGTCTGAGTGCTCACAAAATGACAGAGTCTATGAACATGCAATGGGCACTTACCAGAGCAATACATGTCATTTCCATAATCTCTATGGGTGGTCCAGGAGTGCTATGGATCTCAAGATTATACCAGAATCTTAAATTGTTAAAATTACCATCTGAAAAACAAAACAAAACACTTTTTAATATAGACTTCAGAATACCATACTTAACATACACATTTGAGAATCATGAACAGACATCATTTTCAACCTTTTTGTTTAATGGACTTTTTGTCAAGACAGCTGAAGAAAGGGTGAGAAGCTGTTTTTATCACAGTTAGTGAGGAATAAGAGAAGCTCCATCCTTGCATGGCCAAGAGAATGTCCTGTACAAGTTCCTGGCCCTATACCTATGCCAGTAACTCATTAAGTTCTTCCATAAAATGAATTTCGGAATGTTTTACTTTTAAGTTAAGGATTAATGTTTCAAAAAGTAATAACCAATCTTTTTTCTCATTGACAAACTATTCATGTATTTGTACATAGATATATCTAAATAAGTCATTACAATTTACAATGCTACATTTCCAGGACCATAAGAATCTAGTATAAGGAGAAAGTCAGGAAAATGAGATTGCATGTTTCCTGAAAATGTGAAAAAGGATCCTAAGAATTTAGCCCAAGGAAATTCTGAAAGGGACATAGACTAAGTCGTGAGACAATTATTTTTATATCTTGCTTTCCTAATATTTTTAAAAAGCAGGCAATTCTGCCCCTGATGATAACCAAAACCATACTCCCTCATGCTAAAACTGGAATCCTCATCAACCAGGCCCTTCATAAAAAGGTTTTTTACGTCTGTCAAATTCAGTTTTGTTTTGTTTTGTTTTTCCTCTCTGTTCAGCTTCCCATTTTGATATTCTTTTGTTTTCCTGTGTTGAACTAGGTCATGGCTTAAGATTGTCCTCCAATTTCAGTAAATTGTATACATATTCACATCAGTATTGTCATGTTTAAAAGATTTCAAGAACTGTTATGCTAGATTAACTTATTTAGGTAAATTGCTAACCTCTTTGGGCCTCAGTTTCCTCATCTATGAAATAAGAAGCACAAACTAGTGGAATTCTCAGTGTTTCTCTCTACTGAAAAGGTTTTTCATGAGTATATGTTTTGCATTGCATTGTACTGTATTGTATGGCACTGTATGACAGTGAATAGCATCGTATTGTGTTGTATTGTATTGCACTGTATGGCGTTCATAGCTTTGTATGGGATTGTATTGCATGACATTGTATTTTACTGCACTGCACTGTTCTGTACCATACTGTATTGTACTATTTTGCATCCTGTTTCAACACTTTAGGTATCTAAAATACTTGTAAGATTGGTGGACCTGAGAACAATCCAGATATTTAACGTAAACAGCTAGTAAGAGGGAGAAAGAGAAAAAAATAGTTACAATTAATAAGACCCAGTTGAATTCTTATTCCAAATAACTATGAGGAGTTCTTGAGGGCAAATTTATTTCCACATTTTGAACTGACTCCTGTACTTGTTTATTTTTCAGACATCAGTTCATTCCCTTAAAAGCAGAAATGTGCAGAAAATAAGGTTACCAAATTTATACTGATGAGAGATTATTAAGGAAGGCTCTGCTCACATTTGCTCCTTCAATTTTATAAAAGCACTTTAAGTGCTTTTATGACATTTAAATGTGACTTCTCCCAAAATAAATCAAAGTTCTTAAAATGAAAAGTGTTTTCCCTTCTAGGTAGCTTATGCATATTTTATCTGGGCCTTTCCAATATTTTAACCCACACTGAACTCACAGAGAAAATAATTCTGGAAATAAACAGTAGCTATGACTGAGGAGATGCTTCATGACTCTGGGTTAATGCAAAGATCAGTGGAACGACTCAGAGTTATAAGGCCAGGGTTCAAATCCCAATGTGACCACCATTAGTTGGTGATTTTTGGCAAAGAATCTCAAGAGTCTGCCCATTTGTGGAACAGGGACTATATTTGTCATGGTTCTTCAGAGAGATGGAACTAGCAGGATGTGTAAAGAAGAGCGAGAAAGACAGAGATTTTAAGAAATTGGCTCACACAACTGTGGAGGCTTGGTAAATCCAAAATCTGAAGTATATTGGGGTAGGTCAGATTTTATTTTACTAAGGTTTTCAACTGATTGGATGAAGCTCAACCACATTATGGAGGGTAATCTGCTTTATTCAGAGTCCATGGATTCAAATGTTAATCTCATCCAAAAAACACTTTCTCAGAAACATTAAAAATAAAGTTGACCAAGTATCTGGGCCCTGTGGCCTGGCTAAGTTGACACATAAAATTAACCATCGCAGGGACAATAACACCTGTTATTTATAATTACTGTGACTATCACACGTGGCAGTGTTGTGATGTAGCTGATTTAGTTCCTACAGTACTAGACATGTACATTGAGTATTAATTTATTGATTAGAGTGGGATTGGTGAATGATTTATTGATGAAAACAACAACAAAATAGTGATTGTTTTTTAACTCTGAGCCTTAAATTAAAATATTTTTCTAATTATAAAATCAATAGCATTCACTATAGTGATTTTAGAAATTCCTGAATAGTATGAAAATGAAAGTTCTTCATAATTTCATGACTAAATGACAGCTACTTAATATATTTGTACAAAATTCCAGGCTCAAAATATCAAGAAAGATATGGATATATAGACATAGACACATAAATATACTGGGGTGTATACAATATACATAATTGATACATTCATATGTACATAAGAATATACACATTTATATTATTCAGAAAATACTCACTATTAAAACTTTAGTTTCAATTATTCAATATATCACAAAAGAAACATTCTTAAATGTCATATGTTTTGTATATCTTTGAATATTCTAACAAATTCCTTAGACTGAATCATTGGATTGAAGGAGATAAAAAATTATTAAAAGTTTAAATATACTATAAATGTTCTCTTAAAAAAGTTTTTATCAATTTAAATTTCTGTTGTAATGCATGCAATTGCATCTTTTGATCTGATTCTCATTAAAAATGGGTATTACCATTATCTTTCATATTTCCCTATTCGGAAGGTTAAAACATTCTGATTTAGGTGTTGCTTTCATTTCTTTGATGAGAGGAAAGCTAGAAGATTTCTCTAATTGAAAATAAATACACTGTGGAGCAGTCTTTAAAAAAGGATCCATGTTATTATAGGGGAAAAGTTAATTCTGTCTGAGAGTAAGGATATGAAAAGACCTGTCTGAAGAATCAGGGATACCTTTAATGTTGTCAGGTACATTTTTCCTAGCTTTTAATCTATCTTTCAACCTGTTAATATGTAGGTTAGTATGTTTATTAGAGATCAGTCTTTTTTAGCCTATTAACATAAAATCATAATATTTTGATTTTCCTTCAAATTCTTCTGAACACTTTAACCCTCATGAAGGTTTTCCTTCATGGTTCTTCTGCCCTAGATATTAATGAGGATTTAACTTTTAACATAACACATCTACAGCAATTATCTATTCCTTTGTCTCACCTGCATGATTTCACTGAAAGAGACCCTAAACCTTTACAACTCATGTTAATATTGTTTTTTTTTTCCTAGTTTCAGCTACAAAGATTCAATTGGCAACTGGATATTGCTATGTAAATATCTTGATGTCAGATCAACATCATGAAGTACAAAACTTTGCTAAGTGTTACAATCTCCAAAACTTTTTTCTTTCCTTCTGAATTTCTTTTTTTTTCTATTGACCAAAATACAAACGAACTCTTATTATTATTTTTTAGAATCAATGCCCTTTTTCATTATCTTCTATAAGGACAGTCATCCAATGCTAGTCTCTGAAATATTTCTCATCTTTAGTGATATTTCTATATTTCCATCACCACCACCACCATAAAATACCTGGTTGTCTTCACTTTAAACTCAATTTGCTGTTGTAGTAGTCTAACTGGCCCAACTTCTCTTCCCAAATCATTTTGAATATTCCTAAATACTACTCTTTAGTCCATGGATTCTGTGATGCTTAATTTCATGTGTCAACTTTGCTGGGCTATACTGCCCAGTTGTATGAACAAACACTAGTCTAGATGTTCCTGTGAAGCTATTTTAGAAATGTGATTAACATTTATATTAGTATAATTTGAGTAAAGCAAATTATCTTCCATTGAGTAGGCCTCCTCCAATGAGTTGAAGGCCTTAAGTGCAACCACTGGTGTTCCTCCAAAAAGAAGCAATTATTTCTCAAGACTGTAACATAGAAAGACTGCCTGAATTTCCAGCCTGCCTGTCCTATCCTGGGGAATTTGGACTCAAGGCTGCAACATTGACATTGACTTTTTAGCCTGCTGGCTTGCCTTGCAGATTTTAGATTTACCAGCTCCCACAATGGTGTCAATTGCAAATCTTTCTCTCTCAATACACACAGACACACAAATACAGACACACACACTCCATCATTTCTGTTTCTGTGAAGAATGCTATCTAATACGAATTCATTCAATAAAGATTTCTTCTTTTGTATAACATTTAAAATGTCTCCACAAGTTTGTCCCTGTTGAACCACTTTTCTTTACTAAGGCCTTGCATCCCTGCTACTCACCCATAAAAGAAAAACTCATTCACCCATTTCCAGGAAACCTGCCCTGAGTATTCCAACTCCTCATCACCTTATTTTACTTGGAACTTGTACTAAAAAGACATGATGTTTAACAACATTCAAATAAAGCTTTATAATATAGGGGGAAAAATAGTGTTTAGTTTCTTTGGCATATGAGGAAGATTGCTAGTATCTCTTATATTGAAGTAAGCAATGCATATTACATTATTAAAACAATATACTCATTAACATTTTATTAGAAATTTGCTGTATGCTTTTGTATAGTGACAGAAAAATATGTAAAGCTTTTCAATTATGAAAGAGTGGGCACCCTTCTAGCTGAAGTATTTTGATACTATTGACATTAATAGCAGTGGAACTCCAGAATATATGCTACATATAGTTAATACTGAAATAATAAAATTCTTATGGAAACATGCAATACAAATTTGGATATGTATTATGCGTGTAAACTATCTATTTCATTCAAAAGTGAATGATGATTTGGATTTATGCAAACTAATAGTGAAACTCTGTCATAATAAACTTACATGTGTCTGCATCATCCAAAATGCTAGATTGTTCTGTTATTGAATCAAGACAGGAGAGGGCTTGATCTTGATCTGTGTCTTCCTCATAATCATCATGTTTCCTTCTTGTAGTACATCTTCTTGTAGTAGAAAATGTAATTGTACCTACAACACATAAGTACAAGATGCCCTATTAATCAGGGTTTAGTTTTCTGAAACAAAAGGTAAGCTACAGATATTAAAGTTACTCTAGCTTAAGATATATAAATATAAAGTGAAAATTAATTCTAGATGTCAGTGTTAGAATTAAACCTCATACCTATTCAGAACATTTTAAGGAAAAGCTCAAGGAAAGAGTTTAAGGAAATGTTTTCAAAATCTCCATTAAAATGGTAATTTTTCAACAACTTTTCTAAGATAATTTTAGAAAGTGGAAAATAATATAAATGCATCAACTTTCAGAATACTTATTGCCCCTGGGTAACTGTTCTTATTTTCTTCCTAAGTCATTTTAATGCTCTATTTATTACCCCATTAAAATAATATTTATTTTATTTTATATAATATCACAATATCCCAAGCATGAAATTTCTTGAAAATATTTAATATATAAAATGTTAAACATTTTGTTATAAAAGTTATTAGTGAGGCCAGGCACAGTGGCTCATGCCTGTAATCCCAGCACTTTGGGAGGCTGAGGAGGGTGGACTGCTTGAGGTCAGGAGTTCGAGACCAGCCTGGCCAACATGATGAAACTTGTTTCTACTAAAAATACAAAAATTAGCCAGGCGTGGTGGCACACATCTGTAATCCCAGCTACTTGGGAGGCTGAGGCAGGAGAATTACTTGAACCCGGGAGGCGGAAGTTGCAGTGAGCTGAGATGGCACCACTGTACTCCATCCCGGGTGAAAGAGCAAAACTGTCTCAAAAACAAAACAAAACAAAAAAACAAAAGTTATTACTATAAAAAATCATCACTCTGGAATTTTTTTATACTAAAGTTGACCTATATAAGTTGGTATTAATTTTTAAATTAAAGTTTATATTCTTATGGAAATGATTCAGAAATGGTCCCTGACCTCTAAATACCAGCTTGACATAAACAAACCTTTGCACACAAAACTGTATGTTTCTAGCCATGCATCAAAATCAAATAGTTTACAGCAATGCCTATAAATACTGTTTAGTTGAATTATGGTAGTATCCACACTTCATTAATTGTAAAGACAAGTAGAACTACAATTAAACACCAATATTTTCTTAGTTTTTACTTGAGAGTAACAAACTCTTCCTGAATTTTTTTTAATAAATTCTATTTTTTTGGAGTGTGGTCTCCTTAGAGAGAGAGCTTGAAGTAAAATCATCTTGAAATAAGACATAATAATGTGTGTATGTAAAACCAACTTGAAATGAAACGCATATGGAAAACAATTAGCCAAAAGCACAGAGCAAATACCCAATAAATGACATCTTTATTTATGTTCTTATTATTCCTGGTTAGGAGATGGTCCCAAACAGTAAGATACTGTTGGTCACACTGCTCTTGAAGAGGACAGATATCTAAAAGAAAGAAATGCCTAATTTGGAAAAAAAATAATATTTTAACTTGTTTCTGGGGGGAGGTGAGAAATACAGGTGTTTCGTGTGTTGACAGGCAATACAGATGTTTCACGTGTTTCATATTTTTACAGACAGTTAGGCAGGTGACCAAAAGTCCTGAAAGTTGTAACTTTAGACATGTCCTGTACAATATGACAGCCATTAGTCACATGTGACTACTGAGCAATTAAAATGTTGGTAGTCCTAAATAAGATGTGCTGTGTGAAATATACATTATATTCCACAGACTGTGTAAAACAGAATGTAAAACATACTACTAATAACTGTATGTTAGCTATGTTGTGAAATTATACATTTGGGGTCTGTTCCAAGGTGGCCAAATAGGAACAGCTCCGGTCTGCAGCTCCCAGCATGATCGACGCAGAAGACGGGTGATTTCTGCATTTCCAACTGAAGTACCTGGTTCATCTCACTGGGACTGGTTGGAGAGTGAGTGCAGCCCACAGAGGGTGAGCCTAAGCAGGGCAGGGCATCGCCTCACCTAGGAAGCACAAGGGGTTTGGGGATTTGCTTTTCCTAGCCAAGGGAAGCTATGATAGACTGTACCTGGAAAAATGGGAAACTCCTGCCCAAATACTGTGCTTTTCCAACGGTTTTAGCAAATGGCACACCAGGAGATTATATCCCACGACTGGCTTGGCGGGTCCCACGCCCACGGAGCCTTGCTCACTGCTAGTGCAGCAGTCTGAGATCGACCTGCAAGGCAGCAGCCTGGCAGGGGGAGGGGAGTCTGCCATTGCTGAGGCTTGAGTAGGTAAAGAAAGAAGCTGGGGTAGCTTGAACTGAGTGGAGCCCACCGCAGCTCAACAAGGCCTGATGCCTCTGTAGACTCCACCTCTGTGGGCAGGGCATAGCTGAACAAAAGGCATTAGAAACTTCTGCAGACTTACACGTCCCTGTCTGACAGCTCTGAAGAGAGCAGTGGTTCTCCCAGCACGGTGTTTGAGCTCTGAGAACAGACAGACTGCCTCCTCAAGTGGTTCCCTGACCCCCGTGTAGCCTAACTGGGAGACACCTCCCAGTAGGGGCCGATTGACACCTCATACAGGCTGGTGCCCATTTGGGACAAAGCTTCCAGAGGAGGGATCAGGCAGCAATATTTGCTGTTCTGCAATACTTGCTGTTCTGCAGCCTCTACTGGTGATACTCAGGCAAACAGGGTCTGGAGTGGACCTCCAGCAAACTCCAACAGACCTGCAGCTGAGGATAGAGACTTGACAAGATGGTAATATTCTATATTTGTGCTATCCAATATGGTAGCCACTAGCCACATATGGCTAATGTAATATTATTTGGTTTTAATTAACTGAAATTGAAATAGCCACATGTTTCCAGTATCTTTAATACTGGACAGGACAGAGATTAAACTGAAAACACATTCTACATAGTAAAGAAAGTATTGCTTCATACAAATTTTGTTTCTGTTTTATTTGTAGCTGTGCATATAATAGAGAATATGTATATGTTTGTGTTTATTGAGTCACAATGTAAAATCAATATTTTTTTAAATTCTAGGCCTTAGACAAAAATGTTTGAAATCCACTTCTTTTTAAAAATGCATTGTCCTCAGGTACATATATGTCCTCACTGTCCAATGCAGTGACAGCAAGCCACAGGAACAGGCCATGAATTCCTCCAGGCACAGATCATGCCTGCTATGGGCTTTGAATACTTGTAAGACATAACATTTACTATCATCAACAGAACACTTGCTGCTTTTGTTTTCCATTTTAAAAGACAGAGGATAGAGACTTGACAAGACAATGTGACATCTTATATTCACTATCAGCTTCATTTTTCCATTATTGGATCACTTTTATGTTTACATGGAATATAACTGCTATTATGAAACTAAATGTGAATAATTTACTGTACATGTCCATGAAATTAAATAATTTCTTCTATAGTTGCAAAATAAATTAAATCAGAATAAGAATATACTGTAAGAAATTGTATGCAAAGAAGCCACAGGAAGGTTCTCACTGCAGTCCTCTCATTGTCCCACAGTCATGGAACTCTGGGAAGTATTCTTTCTCTGTATTGCTTCTGCTAGAAGATTTCTCCTCCCAACTCCCTCAAAATTCCAGGCTTCTTTGAAAAGCATGACATTAGACTATGCTGCCTGCTATCATCCGTGGGTAGTCATGTACTAGACTCAAGATCACCATCCTATATTTAATAATTTTGCACATGGTGTATTGTTCTTTCTCAGTTACTTCTGGACATTAATCCAGTTGTTCAACTCTCACATAAATCTGAGAACCAATTCTTTCTAATGGGTGTGTAGATATGTATTTGTATATTTGTATATTTTTATGTTTATTTACACACACATACTAATATTATTCTAGGCTTAGTTCTAAAATCTGGATGGAATGTGCAACATAAATTACCAAAAATGACTCAAAACATACCTGACACTGACCTAAGCAAATCTGTAAATAACAGAAGATTGTCATGCTACTTAAAATTTTAGAATGCATTAAAGGTAGAGAGTAAAAGTTGTAGTTTAATATTTAAAGCTAAAATAACACATACTAAAATTTAATAAGCACATTATATGGAAATATAGATTCAAATTACTTATACTCCCCTCCAAAAATAAAAAAAGATATTTTTCTTTCAAATTGGCAATTCTTAACACCTTTGGTAACATTCACCTTAGATAAAAATGTTGAGTGACAGCCCTGATCTCAAACACTGGTAGTGAGAGAGAAAACGGGTATTTTTTTGGAGAGTTATTTTGCAAAATCCACAAACTTGAAAGTGCATATCACCTTTGACATATCAATTTTGTTATTTATCCTATAAATAACTTGTATATTAAATGTTATCCCTACAGGTAAACTAGCACAGTGAAGAGTTATATACAAAGATGCTGTTGAAATATTATTCATAAATGCAAAACAACAGGGACTTGATTTCAATCTTGGTATGCATGACTAGTGACATGAATTAAGATTATATATATATATACATATATAAATATGTTTTTATGCTATGAATTTTACCAAAATAAAAATGATTATAAGAGAATATTATGAATAATTATACACCAAAAAAATGGATTACTTTAGATTAAATGGAAAATTTCTTAGAAACACATAATCTACGAAAACTGTCTCTTGAAGAACTAGAAGATCTGCATAGATACAAAACTGTGAGGATATTGAATCAGTAATAAAAAACCTTCCAACAAAGTAAAGCCCAAGACCAGATGTCTTCCCTGCTGAATTCTACCAAACATTTAAAGAGGAATTAACATCAATCTTTCTCAAACACCTCCAAACATTTGAAGAGGAGGAAACACTTACTAACTCATTCTAGAAGGGTAGCATTGCCCTGATACCAAACCAGACAAAGACACTACAAGAAAAGAAAACTAAAGTCCAGTATCTCTTGTGAACATTCATGCAGAAATCCTCAACAAAACACTGGCATACTGAATTCAGCAACATAGTAAAAGGATTATACACTATGATCAAATGAAATTAATTTCCAGAATGAATGAATGGTCATTCAACATACAAAAATCAATCAATTTAATATACCACAGTAATAGAATGTAGGAAAACACACACACACACACACACACACACACACACACACACACACGACGATCTCACTTAATGCATAGAAAACTTTTGACAAAATTCAGGTCAGTTGTGGTGGTTCATGCCTGTAGTCCCAGCACTTTGGGAGGCTGAGGTGGGTGGATAGCTTAAGCCCAGGAGTTCAAGACCAGCCTGAGCAACATGGCAAAATCCCGTTCCTACAAAAAATACAAAAATTAGCCTGGTGTGGTGGCACCCGCCTGTAGTCCCAGCTACTCAGTAGAATCACTTGAGCCTGGGAGGTGAAGGTTGCAGTGAGCCAGGATGGTGCCACTGCACTCCAGCCTGAGGACAGAGTGAGACCCTGTCTCAAAAAAAGAAAGAAAAAAAAGAAAAGAAAAAAGAAAGCACTTGACAGAATTCAACACCCTTTTATGATTAAAAAGAAACATTCAATAAACTAGGAATAGAAGGAAACATCCAAAACACAATAATGGCAATGTAGGATAAACTCACACGTAACATCATATGTAAGGTATAAGACAGAAAGCTCTTCCTCTAAGATCAGAAACAAGACAAGGATGCCTGTATTTTTTCCACTTCTATCCAATATAGTACTGGGTGTTCTAGGCAAAGGAGTTATGAAAAAAGTAATAGAGGCATCCAAATTAGAAAGAAAAAATATTTTTTTCTTTTTATATGACATGCTGTATACAGAAAACCTTAAGGATTCCACATAAAAACTTGTTAAAGCATTCAGCAAATGTTCATGAACAAAATCAACATGCAAAATCAGTTACATTTTTATACACTAGCAATGAACAATTTGAGTAGGAAATTAAGAAAACAATTCAGTCAGATAAAGCCAATATTTAGATAAACCTACATATGTTACACAATATGCTTGGCTTAAATAATAAGGAAATCTAATCAGTATTTCAAATACTATCAAGTATAGATGCCCCTCAATTTGCAAAGAGGCTTATATCCTGGTAAAATGATCATAAGTTGAAAATATCATAAGTTGACAATGCACTTTAAACTTACCATATTTTATAAATATACAATGGGTTTATACAGCCATAACTCCCATCATAAGTCAAGGAGTGTCCTAAATGTGTATTGCTTTTGCACCATCATAAAGTTGAAAAGTCATAAGTAGAAACATTATAACTCCAGGACCATCTGTGCTCTCACAAATTAAAAGTACATATTTTCCATTCTCATTCATTTCAGTCCATTATAGACTCAGCATATTTTTCTTTCCCCTAACTCACTCATTTAAAGTTTATTATGTTTTATTATCCCTTAACAAATAGAAATTGGGCATTCATTTGTAAAATAATTTAAAAGCCCTATATGAGTATTACAAGACTGTATATTATAGAACAGAATGAGAAATAGTTAACTATCACAAAAAATAAAAATTGGTGAAGAGAACTACAGAAGCAATTATGTGTTTACTCAGTAGTTCACGTTTTAATTGAAGGAACATTTTTAAACAATATATCTTAGAAGTATGCCATTAATTTGCCCAGATATTTTTCTCATGAAAAACCTTTTTCTTGACAATGTCAATTTAATTTTGTTTCTAAACATTTTTTTCTTTTCCTTTTACGTATATTTTTTATTGTTAATTAGCTACTGTGGAAGAGACACTCAAATTCTTGTCACATATTATAATGAATAATATTATACTTAGCAACCTGATTGTCAGCAGTAAATCTTCAAATGAAATGCAGCAAATAATGATTATGAGAATAATATATTTTCCAAAACATGATAACTTTTTTTCACAACATATGTACATGCTATGTTTTTGGCCTATATTCCACTCTTCAGGGTAAGGTCAATTGTTCCAACAGGAAACAGAAATAAATATAAAACTTGGTTTGCTGGTGCTTGAGTTTGTCAAAGTAATAGGAAAATTATTAGACTGCTTTGGTAAAACTATAAATATGACAGTAATAATACTAGTATCTAAAAGCAACTCCCCACATTAAGATAACAGCATCATTGAATTAATGGAGATTTTCAGTTTGTCTCAATAGACTATGAGGGGGAAAAAATCTAATAGGAATAGCAATTAAACCCATTATGTTTTTAATAGCACAAGTTTTAATTTTGAAAAACAGACTTGTTTCTTTGCTAAACATTAAGTGGTTGATTTTTCAAAATCATTTTTTCACAGTCAGTAAAACATTTTCTAGTATACAAGTCTTTTTTAATCAAGTTTTTTCCAAGTATATATTATCATATAAAAGCCTGAAGTTTAAAGGCTGAAAAACATAATTTTATATTAATGGGTTTTCCTTTGAAAATAATTTTTAAAATATTTATTGAATGCTTACTGTGTGCTAGGCATATGCTAAATGCTTCCTGTTCATCATCTTAGTTAACTCTTGCAAGAAACATAGGAGTTAATTACTCACTGGGCCCATTTTAAAGCTGAAGAACCTGGGCTTAGGGAAGGTTGTCTTTTTGCCTAGATCACACAGTTAGTAAGTGGCAAAGGCATATATATTTCCCTGGCATATAATATGAGAAATTATAAATTAAATTGTGCTTGAATATCACAAAATATACTACAGAATAACTACAATTTTGATTGGAAAAATATAAAAATCACTCACATATGAGGGAACTTCAAAAAGTTTATGGAAAAATGGAATTAAAACAAGAATAAAAATTATATAAATTTTATTTCTCAACATAAGCTATATCAAGTTCAAGACACTTTTGTAAGTGTTGGTATCAGCCATTTAGTTCATCCCTAAGAAAACTGAGGGTCCTGGAAATTTAACCATGTCAAAGCAGTCTTTATTACATTATTAACTGAAGAAAAATACTGCCCTTTAAAGATTTTTTTAAGATGAGGAAAAAAAAGCAGAAGTCAGAAAGAGTCAAATCCAGACTGTAAGGTAGATGCCTAATGATTTCCCATTGAAAGTCTCACAAAAGTGCCCTTGTCTGATGAGAGGAATGAGCAGGAGCATTGTCATGGTGCAGAAGAACCATCTGGATAAGCTTACCTGGGCATTTTTTTTGCTGAAGCTCTGGATAACTTACTCAAAATACTCTCTTAATAATCAAATGTTATTGTTCTTTGGCCTTGCAGAAAATCAACAAGCTAAATGCCCTGAGCATCCTAAAAAACTGTTGCCATGACCTTTGCTATCATATTTTGCTTTAACTGGCGCACTTCTACCTCTTGCTTTAATTTACTTTGTATTCAAGATTTTGCCAGTAAAGCCATGTTTTACCTGTTACAATTACTTGAAGAAATGCTTCAGAATCTTGATCTCATTTGTTTAAAATTTCCATTGAAAGCTCTGCTTTTGTTCGCAGCTGATCTGGGTGTGACAGTTTTGGCACTCATCAAGTACAAAGTTTGCTCAACTTTAACTTTTCAGTCACAATTCTATAAGCTAAACAAATTAAGATGTCTATAGTGTTGGCTATTGTTTTTGCCAGTAACTGTAGGTCCTATTGAATTAGGACTCAAACAGGATGAATTTTTACTCTCAAATTGATGTGCCTGCCACTGTGAACTTCATTTTCAACATAATCTTGTACATTCTTAAAATGAGTTACCCATTTGTAAACTGCTGACTTCTTTGGGGTATTGTTCCCATAAACTTTCTGTAAAGCATCAATGATTTCACCATTTTTTCCGCTAAAGCTTCACCGTAAATTTGGTGTTTGCTCTTATTTCAATATCAGCAGAATTCATATTGCTTTCATTGGGTCTCTTTCAAATGATGTCTCATCCTACTTAGAATCTCAAACTAGGTCCTGTTTACATATGTTATGTCAAGTTAGCATGAGTTTATTTTGGTGCAAAAAGTATTTTGAAATCCATGAATAGATTTTTTTCATAATATGCATTTTCATAAATGTTTTGAAGTACACTTGTCCTTACATAACATTTAATTTGACCTAAAGAGATAGAGCTCAGATACTGCACATTAATCACCTAAACTCTCATCCCTCAGAAAACTGCCAAAAGCCAGTTTCCATAGTAATGGGTAAATCTGGCAAAGCATTTTCTGTCTTTGCAATTGGTCCCCTCACACCCACCTTGCATCATCCTTTGACTCCATGCTTCATTGCCTCCAACTGCTAAGGAGACGTACTGTAAGGAAAATCTCTGTATGACTGGAATTTCATCAGTTTGTGAACCATGGAAGCAAATTAGTTCAGTCAAGAAGTTTTGGTATAAGTATCTTCTCTGTGAACATTGTATTACATATGATCAAATAAATTTGAATAAAGTTTTGTTTCTCTAATATCATACTACCCTACAAAATCTATAAAATCATTGAAGCAAGACTATAATGGCCTAAAAAATCTTCCACTAATTTTTCTCTTCCTTCTGTCCCTTTCTTTTTTCCACCCTTCATTTTAAGCTTACTTTTAACCCACTTTCTTTTGTTTTATTGCCCCTTCATTAGAGGACCAAAACAGCAAGGTGGGAAAAACAAAATTACATGGCTGATGAAAAACAGAGGCTGGGGCAAAATGTTAAAGCAGTGATGGTTCAGATAGCTATTAAAACCACGTGCTTCTTTCCGATTCATGTAAGAAAAAAGCAATTCATTACATTTCATCAAAATAAAAAACTGCTCTTCAATAGACATCATGAAGAAAAAAAGGCAAGTTGCAGACTGGGGAAAAGTTTATAAAAACATGTATCTGATAAAGGATTTGTGTCCAGAATATGTATATAAGTATATATATTCATTATATCATATATATACTATATATAAAAATATGTATCTGATAAAGGATTTGTGTCCAGAATATGTATATAATATATAATTATATATATTCACTATATTATATATATACTATATATAATATATACATACTAGACACAAATCCTTTATCAAATACATGTTTAGGGTATCATATATATATATATATACAAATTTTAAAACTCTCAAAATTCAACAATAAAAAAAACCCAATGGGGGAGCAATAAGTAAAGGATTTTAAAAGGCATTTTAGTAAACAAGATACATAGATGACAAATAAAGACATGTAAAGATGCTCAATGTCATTATTCATTATGGAAATGAAAATTTAAACTACACTGTGATCGCAGTATCTACAAATTTAAATAGTTAAAATTAGAATGAGTAACCCTATTAAGTATGGTCAAGAATGTGGAGGAACTGGATTTCTCATACACTGTTGGGAGAAATGGGAAAAGAAACACTCTATTTGGGAAACTATCAGGCAATTTCTTTAAACAGTATAAACTCAATTACCATGTGATCTAAACATTGCATTCATAAGTTATTTCCCTCAGAGGTATAAAAGCATATGTCCATACAAAGACTTATACTTGAATGTTCATAGCAGCTATATTTTTAATTGCCAAAACATAGGGGAAAAAAACAAATGTTTATCAACAGGTAAATGGATAAACAAATTATTGTGGTATATCCTCCATTAAATACTACTCAGCATTAAAAGGAATAAACTATTGATTTAGGCACCATGTAGACTGATTTTAGAATAATTATTTTGCACAAAATAAAACAGCATAAAACTGTGCACACTGTATGATTTCATTTATATACAATGTTTGAAATGCATATAAACTGATTGAAAACAGGTAACTGGTTGCCTAAGGCAAGGGTAGTCTAGCATATGAGGGGAAGGGGAAAAGGGATTAAAAATGGGCACAAAAAAACTTTTTGGAGTGACAGTTATACTTATTATCTCAATGGCTTCATAGGCGTATACATGCGTTAAAATTTCTCAAAATCTATACATTAAGTATCCACAATTTATTGTATCTCAATTATACAGGAATAAAACTGTTAAAATATACACTGCATGTTTCAGAAATTATGCCCATCCCTTCCAGCAAGCACTGCTCAGCAGTATGATAGGAATTGAGAAATGTCACCCCAAATCAGAAGTATTGTACAAAGTGCAGAAGTGTAGTTAACAGTCACTTATATGGATCTTTCCAACACGAAGCAATGTCATGTGCAAGAAAATTAATGAAGAATAATGACTGAAGCCACCATATTTATACATCCAGGAGAACTGTAATCTATCTGTCTATCACCTGTGTTTGTTTGTATCTATCTATCTAAAATCTCTGTTAGTTGACCTCTCCTCTTAGGTCCTTAAAGTCAAGTATGTCTCATTGGTATCAAATTGAATTGTCTGACCATTTGTTTAGATTCACTACACTTAGGAGGGTGGCTTTCTAAGCCTCTGTGTAAAGTTTTCATTTATTTTTCTTTCACTTTAGTGTAACCTTTTTCTATGAGTTATTTTTACATTAGCTATAAAAGGAATTTTAGTATTAAAAGTATCTTTCGCTCCTTATCCATGCAATAACAACAGGGAGATCACTTTTCACAAAAGCGTAAAGAGTGGCCAGAGTCAAAGGTTTATCAGTATTTGCAAACCTTTTTGAAATACTGACATATTTTAAAAGATTTAAGAGCCAATTCTTCTAAAGGTTCAGAATTTCTGAAAAATTATCTGACCGAATTAGTAAATTCAATAGATTATGCTTAAATCCTGACATTTAGAAAATTATCATTGAAGGTTATTTTAAACTTGAAAAGTTTCTAATTGAAAAAAATATATAATGAAATACTTCACAATAAACACTTGTATCTGTGATTCTTATGTAACTGCTATATCTGAGATTCTTATGTCTTACATGAGAAAAACCAACAACCTGCCAAATCACATTTTCATTTGACTGTAAATAACTTTCCACAACATACACAAATTCTTTTGATTGAGCAAGCAAGACAGACAGAGAGACAGACAGACATACAGACACACATACACACACAAAGAAAGAGAGAAGTTTAATTTTTTAAATAAAAATGCTAAGCATATCTTAGTAGCTCAAAATTCAATGAAAAATACTTTCTCTAGAATATAATGGGTGGATTCATCAGCCACTGGAACCTTCTTCCTAAAGTAACCCAAATTTATATTCAATAGAGCATCTATAGCCTTCACTTCCAGTGAGAACTATTTATCTAATATATAATCAAAAATTACAAGTGAGTGTTGGACCTCGTGGCAAACAATTAAGTTGCAGGAATGTCTTTCCTTCAGCATGACAGAGTATAGGCAGTTTCAAATTTACTTTTCTTCAAGCAGGTAAATCTTCCTTGTTCTCATATTTTATTGTACTCTTATTATCGCAATACTAAGTAACTTTTAAAATATATTGGGAGCAACTTTATTTTTGAAAATGCATTGCTTCTTCTATTCATTGTTGACTGGACACCTGCAGCTGTATGCCAGAAATTGGCCTGGAGGCCAAGGCCAGGCTAGCAATCAGAGGACAGATCATCTTATGTAAAGGCAGAAAATGCCGTATGTGACATCACTTGTAGATCTATTTACACAAATGAATTCATGTCTAGACAATCATGTGAGTACAACTTGGGGATAGAATTAATACTCATCTTGATTTTGGTATCAAGAGTCAGAAAGAAAAAGTCTAGTACTCACAAACCCTCTAGGGTAATAGCATCATGAAACATCAGAGCATAGGCTACCTGGGAAAGCTAAAATTGTAAACGAAAAGAAAAATGTCCAAAGGACCATGAGAGCATCCAATAATACCAAATATACGATCTCCACAATGCCTCAAGGTCTTGCTTTTAAAAATCACTCCTGTCACCTAAAAGAACATGAACCACTTTGCTGGGCGCGGTGGCTCACGCCTGTAATCCCAGCACTTTGGGAGGCCAAGGCGGGTGGATCATGAGGTCAGGAGATCAAAACCATCCTGGCTAACACGGTGAAACCCCGTCTCTACCAAAAATACAAAAAATTAGCTGAGTGTGGTGGCGGGTGCCTGTAGTCCCAGCTACTCACGAGGCTGAGGCAGGAGAATGGCGTGAACCCAGGAGGCGGAGCTTGCAGTGAGCCAAGATCATGCCACTGTACTCCAACCTGGGCAACAGAGCAAGACTCTGTCTCAAAAAAAAAAAAAAAAAAAGAACATGAACCACTTTATAGCAAACAATAATTATTTTCAAAGACCAATGACACCTGATTGGTTTCGTGTCTACAAGTATGGCAGTCAATATTGCTGATGGCAAAAAACCAAAAAGATCCAAATTCAGTTTCAGCCAAGATATTGATAGCACTCTACCTAGCTTTTTTCACTGAAATAAGCTAGGATAGAGAGGGGACAAAAGAAGTTCCAAATCCCCCATATGCCCATATCATATTTGGAAGTTGTCAAGAGAGGTGTATATAATCATCTGGCATTTTTGGCTTTTGCAAATCAAATTAAGAAGGGAACAGTGAGGAGAAAGAAAAACACAGAAAAAAGCAAAATTTACATTAGATAATATCTCAACTGTTCCTGTGGTACTATGGTCAATAAGTTTCTTTCAATGTCAAAGACTTGGACAAGATGGCTAACTAGACACAGCCAGGAAGAACTTCTCTCACCAAGACAGATCAGAATATTGAGGAATATGGCATGCGTCAAGCAGACTGTCTGAAAGAATGCACTGAGAGAGGTTGAAGAGAGGGCCCAGATGTTGGGATTGAAGGAGGAGGAAGCTGGGAACCATGCATGGGATTGCTGAGTGGCAGGATACGTTCCAGGCCCTGAACAGCTCCTGAGGAAAGGGGTGGGTCTGACATATGTAAGCTGCTAGACCTGGAGAGAAAAGGGCTGTCTTTTCCATAGGACCAGGGCGAATCTGATCTGCATGCCCCACTGACCTCCCAGCCCCTCCCAGAGTTCCTGCCGGGCCATGCCTACACGCAGTGCAGCCTCAGCTACCCCACCAAAAGGTTTTTTGCCAGCATCTACCATCATAGCACTTTAACCAGATCCTCCTGTCACCCCACTGGAGCACTTTTGCTGACATCCTCCCACCAGAAGGCATTTGTCTGCAACCTCACCACTGTCCCTATGGGTCACAATCAGCTGCGGCATCACCACTGTCCCACCGAAGTACTTTCTGACCATGGCATCCCCTGCCAGAAGGGTTCCCACCCACAGTGCCCCTGCCAGAGCACCTCCTACAAATAGTGCCCATGCTGTGCCCACTGGAGCACTTCCAGCCCATGGCCACCCACCTCCCCAAGTACTTCCTTCTGGTGTCACCCTTGCTGGAGTGCATCCCACCTGTGGCACCCCTGCCACCCCGTCACAGTGTGTCCCATCAGTGGTGCCACCATCAACCCAGCCCGAGTGCATCCCACCCATGGCACCCCTGCTGAAGAGCCTGTCACCTGTGGTGCTCCCAAGTCCCCCACCAGAGCACTTCCCACTCATAGTGCTCTCGCCACCCCCACTGGAGCATTTACACCCACCGTGCCCCCATCATTCCTTATGGAGTGCTGTTGCCAATAATCTGGCAGTGCCTCAGCTCCTCCATCCCAGCTTGGGCTTAACCTCAAGGGAACAGTGGACAAAGCCATGGACCCAGTACCAGTCACTCATGGATAGAGTACATAGCCCAGCAATGTGGAATTGAGCACTGGCCCTCTGAAAGCATCCAGAAACTAAGTCATTCAACTATACACAACTTGTACCGCAGTCACACCTTCAAGGGCAATAATGACCATAAAAATATAAAGCCCATCCAAATGACAGCAATTTCAAATGATAAAGGAACATCAGCCCTCACAGATGGAAAGAACCAGCACAGAACTCTGGAAACTCTAAAAGTCACAGTATCTTTTTACCCCCCAAAAAAATCACACTATCTTCCCAGAAATGGTTCTTAATCAGATTGAAATGGCTGAAATGTCAGACATAGAATTCAAAATCTGGATGGCAAGAAAGCACATTAAGATATGAGACACAGAAAAGGTCTTCAATAAAATTTATCATCACTTCACATTCAAAACCCTCAACAAATTACTTACCGAAGGAACAAACCTCAAAATAATAAGAACCATGTACAACAAATCTATAGCCAATATCATACTGAATGGGCAAGAGCTGGAAATATCCACCTTGAGAATTGAAACAAGACAAGGACGTCCACTCACACTACTCCTCTTCAACATAATACTGGAAGTCCTAGCCAGAGCAATCAAACAAGATAAAGAAATAAAGGGCATTCAAATCAGAAGAGAGGATGTCAAACAATCTCTTCACAGACAATATGATTCTATACTCAGAAAACTCACAGACACCACCAGAAGGCTTCCAGAACTGATAAATGACTTCAGTAAATTTTCAGGATACAAAATCAACCCACAAAAAAATCAGTAGCATTTCTACACATGGAAAATGTCCTAATTCAGAGCCAAATCAAGAACACAGTCCTTTTTATAATAGGCACAAAAAGTATAAACTACCTAGAAATACAGCTTACCAAGGAGGTGAAAAATGACTACAATGAGAATTACAAAACACAGCTGAAAGAAATCACAAGACACCACAAATGAAAAAACACTCCATGCTCATGCACAGGAAGAAGTCTTATTAAAATGGCCAAATGCCCCAAAGAAATTTACAGATTCAATGTTATTTCTGTGAAACTCTCAACAACATTTTTCACAGAATTAGAAATAAAAATTGTTTTAAAATTCATATGGAGCCAAAAAAGTGCCCAAATAGTCAAAGCAATCCTAAGCAAAAAGAAGAAAGTCAAAGGTGGGAGAGTTGGAGCAAGACGGCAGAATAGAAGGCTCCACTGATTATCTCCCCTGCAACAATAGCATTTTAACACTTATCTGCACAGAAAAAATACCTTCATAAGAACCAAAAATCAGGTGTGCCCTCTTAGTACTTGGCTTTATATCTGTGTCACTGAAAGAGGCACTGAAGAAATAGAAAAAAAGTCTTGAGTCTCCAATGTCACCCGTCACCCACCCCACAGTAATGGTGGCAGTGAGCGGAGAGCATCTCTGGGTGCTGGAGGAGGAGAAGCATAGCAATTGTGGGGTATTTAACTCAGTGCTTTCCTGTTAGAGCAGAAAGGAAAACCAGACCAAAATCAGCTGATGCCCACCCACAGAGGGAGCATTTAAACCAGTCCTCGCCAGAGGGGAATTGTCAATCCCAGTGGTCTGAACTTGAGTTCCTACAAACCTTGCAACCAAGGGATAAACTGTGTTGGGTCTATAAATATACTGGAAAGGCAGTATAGTCTATAAAGACTGCAGTCATTAAGCAAACCCTAGATCTAGCCCAGAGACAATGGACTGGGGGGTGTACGTGATCTACTGAGACACCAGCTGGGTGAGGGAGAGCTGGCATCACTGAAGTCCTAACCCCAGGCTGCAAGGCTCGTAGCTCCAGAAGAGACCCCTTCCTTCCCCTTGAGGAAAGGAGAGGGAAGAATGGGGAGTACTTTGTCTTGCATTTTGGATAGCAGCTCAGCCACAGCAGGATAAGCATCAGTCAATGTTGTGAGGATCCCATTCTAGGCCCTAGCTCGCAGACGACATTTCTAGACACACACTTGGTCAGAAGGGAACCAGATACATTGGAGGGAAGGACACAGTCCTGGCAGCATTCATCACGTGCTAACTGAAGAGTCCTCGGGCCCTGAATAACCAGCAGTAATACCCAGGTACTACATCAAGGGCCTTGGGTGAGCCTCTGAGACTTGCTGGCTTCAGGTGAGACTCAGCACATCACCAGTTGTGATGGCTATAGGGTGGCTGCTTGAGAAAAGCAGAGTGAAAAGTAAAAGGGACATCAACTTGCACCTTAGGTACCAGCATGGCCACAGGGGCTCTTGGCGTCCTTGATTTCAGGACTTGTCTATTGGATGACGTTTCTGGACTCGCCCTGGGCAAGAGGAGAGCCCAGTGCCCTGAAGGGTGAGTCCCAGGTCAGGCAGCATTCACCACAAGCTGACTTGAGAGCCCTTGGGCCTTAAAGGAACATTGGCTGTCATTTGGCAGTATTCCTCATGGCCTGCAGTGGTTTTAGCCACAGGTGGGGCTCCTCTGTCTTTGGAAAGATAGTTATTGGCCTTAAAGGGAAGGTAAGCAAATAACTATGGGTAGAAAGTTTATTCCAAGGGATAAAAATGGAGAACTTCCCAAACCTAGAGAAAGATATGACTATCCACCTTCAAGAATGTTACAGAAACCAAGCAGTTTTAACTCAAAGAAGACTATCTCAAGGCATTTAATAATCAAACTCCCAAAGGTCAAGGATAAAGGAAGGATCCTAAAAGCAGCAGGAGAAAAGAAACAAATAACATACGATGGAGCTCCCATGTGTCTGACAGCAGCCATTTCAGTGGAAATTTTATAGGCCAGAAGACAATGGCAAATTAAAAATATTCTGCACAGTAAAAGAAACTATCAACAAAGTGAAATGACAACCCACAGATTGAGAGAACACATTTGCAAACTACACATCAGACAAGGGATTAATGACCAGAATATATAAGGAGCTCAAACAACTCTATAAAAAACTAATAATCTGATAAAAATGGGAGAAATATTTGAATAAATATATCTCAAAAGAAGACATACAAATGGCAAACAGGCATGTAAAAAGGTTCTCAACATTATTGATCATCAGAGAAATGCAAATCAAAACTATAATGAGATATCATCTCACCCCAGGCAACATGGCTTATATCCAAAAGGCAGGCAATAACAAATGCTGCTGAGGATGTGGAGAAAGGGGAACCCTCATATACTGTTGTTGGGAATATAAATTAGTACAACCATCGTGAAGAACAGTTTAGAGGTTCCTTAAAAAATGAAAAATAGATATACTGTATGATCCAGTAATCCCATCGCTGAGTATATATCCCAAAGAAAGGAAATCAATATATCAAAGAGATAGCTACACTCCCATGTTTGTTGTAGCACTGTTCACAATATTTAAGATTTGGAAGCAATGTTAGCATACATCAACAGATGAATAAATAAAGAAAATGCGTATATACACACAATGGAGTATGATTTAGCCATAAAAAAGAATGAGATCCTGTTATTTGTAATAACATAGATGCAATTGGAGATCGTTATGTTAAGTGAAATGAGCCAGGCACAGAAAGACAAACATTGCATTTTCTTATTTGTGGATCTAAAAATCAAAACAAATGAATTTATGGTGACAGAGAGTAGAAGGATGGTTACCAGAGGCTGGGAAGGGTAGTGGGGGGTTGGTGGGAGGTAGGAATGGTTAATTGGTACAACAAAATAGAAGAAATGAATAAGACCTACTATTTGATACCAAAACAGGGTGACTATAGACAATAATAACTTAATTGTACATTTTAAAATAACTAAAAGATTGTAATTGGATTGTTTGTAACACAAATAATAGATGCTTGAGGGAATGGATATCCCATTCTCCATGATTTATTTCATATTGCATGCCTTTATCAAAACATCTCATGTACCCCACAAATACATACAACTACTATGTACCCACAATAATTAAAAATAAAAAAATTTAAAAGAAACGCAAAGCCAAAGGCATCACACTACCTGACTTGAAACTATACTACAGGAGGTGGGGGGTCAGCCCCCGCCCGGCCAGCCACCCCGTCCGGGAGGGAGGTGGGGGGTCAGCCCCCGCCCGGCCAGCCGACCCGTCCGGGAGGTGGGGGGCGCCTCTGCCCGGCCGCCCCTTCTGGGAAGTGAGGCGCCCCTCTGCCCGGCCACCACCCCGTCTGGGAGGTGTACCCAACAGCTCATTGAGAACGGGCCATGATGACGATGGCGGTTTTGCGGAATAGAAAAGGGGGAAAGGTGGGGAAAAGATAGAGAAATCAGATTGTTGCTGTGTCTGTGTAGAAAGAAGTAGACATGGGAGACTTCACTTTGTTCTGTACTAAGAAAAATTCTTCTGCCTTGGGATGCTGTTGATCTATGACCTTACCCCCAACCATGTGCTCTCTGAAACATGTGCTGTGTCCACTCAGAGTTAAATGGATTAAGGGCGGTGCAAGATGTGCTTTGTTAAACAGATGCTTGAAGGCAGCATGCTCATTAAGAGTCATCACCACTCCCTAATCTCAAGTACCCAGGGACACAAACACTGAGGAAGGCCGCAGGGTCCTCTGCCTAGGAAAACCAGAGACCTTTGTTCACTTGTTTATCTGCTGACCTTCCCTCCACTGTTGTCCTATGACCCTGCCAAGTCCCCCTCTCCGAGAAACACCCAAGAATGATCAATGAAAAAAAAAAAAAAAAAAAAAAAAGAATAGTATCTAACTGATAGGGTGGCCTTAAGGGTTCAACCAAATATGAAATATAAACCATTTGCTCCCAGCACATAGCAGGTGTTTTAATAAGCACTAACTATTCCTCTACATCAGTGAAAATGAGCCACAGCTACACTGTCAGTGAACTGAAGGGGAAATAAATTACTTGCAAAAGGAAAAAAAAAAAAAAAAAGAAACTATACTACAAGGCTAAAGTAACCAAAATGGCAAGGTACCTGTACAGAAATAGACACATAGACCAATCCAACACGTTAGAGAAACCAGAAATAAAGCTGAACCCCTACAGCTATCTGATCTTTGACAAAGTCAACAATAACAAGCAATGAGTAATGGACTCCCTATTCAATAAATAGTACTGGGGTAATTGTCTAGCCATATGCAGAAGACTGAAACTGTACTCCTTCCTTTCACCATACACAAAAAGGAACTCAAGATTGATTAAAGACTTAAATGTAAGACCCTGAACTATAAAAAAACCCTAGAACAAAACCTAAGACATACCATTCTGGACATAGACCTTGGCAAAGATGTCTTGTTGAATATACCAAAAGCAACTGCAACAAAACCAAAAACAGACAAGCGGGACCTAATTAAAGTAAAAAGTTTCTGCACAGCAAGAGAAACAGACAACTTACAGAATGGGGGAAAATATTTGCAAAGTACGCATTCAACAAAGGTCTAATATCCAAAATCTATAAGTAACTTAATACACAAAAAGCAAACAACCCCATTAAAAATGTAGCTAAACACATGAACAAACAGTTCTTAAAAGAAGACAAACATGTAACCAACAAATATATGAAAAAATGCTGATCATAACTAAATATTAGATAAATGTAAATCAAAAACTCTATGAGATACCATCTCACACCAATCTGAATGGTTATTATTAAAAAGTCAGAAAATAATAGATGCTAGCGAGGTTGTGAAGAAAAGGGAACACTTACACATTGTTGGTGGGAATGTAAGTTAGTTCAGCCACTGTGGAAAGCAGTTTGGATACTTCTTAAAGAATTTTGAACTATCATTTGACCCAGCAATCCCACTATTTGGCATATATCCAAAGGGAAATAAATAGTTCTACCAAAAGAATTTATGTGCTCATATTGTTTATCACAGGGCTATTCACAATAACAAAGACATGGAACCAACCAAGATGACCATCAAGAGTGTACTGAATAAAGAAAATGTTACACAAACATACACACACACACACACACCATGGAACACTATGTAGCCATAAAAATGAATGAAATTGTGTCATTTGAAGCAACATGGATGCATCTGGAGGCCATTATCCTGAGCAAACTAACACAGGAACAGAAAACCAAATATCACATGTTCTCACTTACAAATGAGAGCTAAAGATTGAATAGACATGGGCACAAAGATGGGAGCAATAGACACTGGGAACTGCTTGAGGGGGAAAAGTGGGAGAAGGGCATTGGTTGGAAGGCAACTTATCAGGTACTATGCTAAATACCTTGGTGACAAAGTCATTTGCACACCAAGCCTCAGCAACATGCAATTTATCCATGTAACAAACTTGCACATGTACTCCCTGAATCTAAAATAAAAGTAGAAAAGGCAAAAAAAAAATTAATAAAGAGACAATGTGGTAGAGTGATGCAGAGCAAATACTTTGGAGTCAAACTTCCCAGGTTCCAATTCCAGCTCTGCCATTGACAAACGATGTGCCTAAAAAATTAAGCTGTCTGTGACTTAGTTTCCTTCTTGGTACAACAAAAAAAATAATAGTACCTATATCAAATACTGTTAGAGGATTAGAGAAGTATATGTAGTTGCTGTTAATAGTTATTATTAATAAAGAAATCATGCATTTTTCAATAGTTACTAGGAGACATAAAAATGAAACTGACAATCATAAGCAAAATTCTAATAAGCCTCAAATACTACATATATACATATATATTTATATATTTTGCAAATCTATATGTAAATGGTATATTTTTACATTTGTATCATGCATGCCCTAAGCCAGTTTCTCACACAGATTTTTTTCTAGCACTTGCTACATTTAAAGAATAAAAGATAAATTTTAATAAACACAGCGATTTTGTGCAAATTATGCCCCTAAATGATCGTTTTCAATGTTGGAAATGACTTTTTCCAAATGTGAGGAGCAGATGGGTAGAGTTGAGAGTTAGTGTTTTAAATAAGAGCAATCGACATTAATTGAACACCTACTAAATCAACAGTTTTCATATATTTCCATTTAATCCCCATAGCCACCCTGAAAGTCTAAATATTATCTATATTTCACAAACAAAAAAACCCGACATTCAGGGAGGTTAAGTAAATTACCCAAGATTACACAGTTAGAGAAGGATAATATTGGTAGTTGAAGTGATGTGTGTCAAATTGCATAAAATAATAATATTTATTTACTGCCTTCTGCATGTTCTATGTTAGGGGCTTCACAGTGCTATCACCCATTGATGACACAGCAACAGGTGATAGAGAAAGTATTTATATTGCATTTCCGTGGATAAAGAAATGGATGCTCTGGGGATGGAATAACCTGGCTGAGGTTCTACAGCCTGAAAGTGGTATCAGGTACATAACCAGAGTCTTTTATTTATGCAACATGGAAATATAGAAAAATAATTATATGTCGATGGTGGCCTTTCATTTTTAAAAAGCTGCATTTATTTGAGAAAATATTACATATTCCTAAGATACATAAACTCACACTGAGACTACATTTTATGTAAAGTTATCCTCAATTGCTACAATATTCTTGTTTGAAGCCCTGAAAATAGTTGTGCATCAATTAAATGTCAAAAATCAAAGACGGCTTATTCAGGATATGTAAATGTAGCTTGGCTTATATTCCAGAATAAAAATAATAAATATTAAAGAGCTCTCATTGTAAAGAAAATTATTTCTTTATATTCTAGAAAGTAATATCTAAAAATTGTTTTATAAAAGTAAAGACAAAATAAGCCTACTATGGATATATTTAGTGTTGAATAAAAACAAAACTTCATATTTCTCAAGCTAACTCTATTGGTTTGGGGATCTTTTACAAAAGCGAACTAAAAGCTTGTTTGCAATTTGAATGAAGCTTTCTTATGCCAGTGTCATAAAAAGATCCCATTCCAGTGTAGCAAGTTCCAAATTGCAAATTTTTAGAAATGAATGTTCTCTATACATAAACAAGCACAAAGTTTACAGTTGTGTTAAGGAACACAATAATTTTTCAGCAAGTAAGAAAGCACTTTTCGGTGCTATTAAACAAAATACAAGCTGAATTTTGACAAAATCAAAATTGATCATTCTTACTTACTTGCTGCAGCTACCAGGCTACTAACAGTCATGGATAATAAGAGAATTTCACACTACTATAGCATGAATGTTCAAGGTAGAAATGAAGACTACTAATATGACTGGAAACCCTTTGGTCCTTTGTATTTAGTTTTTTAGTATGGAGTAAAAATATTTAAAGCACCTTGGTGACTACAGTGAACTGAGTCCATGTAGGGTTATATAAAATCCAAAGACTTGCCACTGTAAGTGCACAAAGTACATACTGTGTGCAAATATTCTTGCTGGCCAGGTGCAGTGGCTCACGCCTATAATCTCAGCACTTTGGGAACCCAAGGCAGGTAAATTGCTTGAGCCCAGCAGTTCAAGAGCAGCCTGAGCAACATGGTCAGGCTCCATATGTTAAACAAATTCAAAAACAGCCAGGCATGGTGGTACACAACTGTTGTCCCAACTACATGGGAGGCTGAGGTGGGAGGATCGCTGAGTCCAGGAGGTCGAAGCTACAGTAAGCCATGTTCACACCACTGAACTCTACCTGGGCAACAGGGTGAGACCCTGTCTCAATTTAAAAAAAAAAAAAAGAAAGAAAAAAGAAAAAGAAAATATTCTTGTTGTGTAATGTTTGGAGATAGTTTTAGGCCACCAGGCCATGATCAACATATTAAAGTCTTCTAGCCTGGTTTTGTTCATATGCTTAAATGGCTCATAATTCAATAAATTATTCTTGTTATATCCTTTCTCTGTTGTCCTTTCATCAATCCTGCGGGCAAAGGGAAGATACTCGATTACTGAGTTCTACCCCCTCTTTTTATGTCCTTCAGGTTCACAAATAAAACATCATTGATGACTGTAAGAAATTCTAAAAACTTTTTCCTTGGAGATGAAACTGTATTTGTTGCTTACATGTAGAAGTTCACAAGAGATAATTATGAAGTCCTATACTAAGGCTTTAAAAAATCAACTGCACTAGTTAACAATAAAATAAAAGCCTTTAAAAACATTCATGGGTTTCTATTTTTATAATATGTTGGAAAGATATTCAGAGAATCCTCTCTCAACTGAAAATTTTGAGTTAAACACACAGAAACTAAAACAGCATGAATCTACTGTAGTGGGTCATCATTGGAGATGACATTTGTTCTGGAATATGTGCTACTCAGTAGTGGCTGGAATCTTGGCTTTAGGGACCATAAGAGCAAAATCATTAGTTAAAGAGCTCACATTTGCATGGTTTGGGGTACAGTTTTCACATATTTTTGGATCACCAAGCCCCAAATTAATTATTTAGCTTCCTAGCTCTAGACATAGAAAGGGATCCCTAGAAGTATCTTTACAAGTTTACACATCTCCCTGTTTGTTGTTTGTAAAACATGTTTTTTAAAGTTGTAGTTTAACCCTGATGTTCACAGGCTGAAAAAAAGCTAAGCTGATTGATGACGTCTTCATACAGAGCTCAGAAAAGTCATGCCAGAGACATGAGGTCTATGTAGATTATTAAAGAACAACTGGAGCAAATTATTAGGAAAATGATATGTAAGGTATACCAAATGATACAGTCTTAACTCTTACACTTACAAGTTATTTTGCTAGTGCTACATTACAAATTAGTTGCTTTATGTTGTGAACATGCATCTTTACAGCCATCTCTAAATCATATTTCTGAATCATATTATGTTGTTGCAATCAAAATAAAATTGAGAATTACTACTAATAAAGTATATAATCACCACTAAGGCCTACTCATCTTCACCTATATACTAGTCTTGTGCAAAACAAAACAGCTTCTAGCTAAGATAAATGAAAATTTATTTGCATATTTCACCACTGCAAATAAGTAACAGGCCATTACTCTGTGTCTACAGTTGGTTACACACTAATCCTGTAATAATGAACAGTAATAATAGCTTTTTGCATTCTCATATTTATCTATACCAGATAGGTCATTTTACAGTTACAAAAGAAAGAATTAAGCAATCGTGTTTTATTGCTTTCAGTCATTAACACATTATCTCTCTCACACCTGCAAACATGGTGATTTTTGCTTGGATTTGTTTGTTTCTCCTTAAGGTTATATGTTTTTATATCTAGGTTTACTTATTCTATATTGTCATTTTTTTCCAAAACTTAATGACATAAAAAGATAACTTTGAAGTCGAGATAGAACTAGGCTTTCATTCCTAAGCAGTAAACTTACCCTTCTGATTACTTCCCCCTCACAGTTATTGGTTTCACTTTGCTTAGAGTTGCTTACTGTCCGAAGTACATTTGACTCTACTTTCTCCTTTCTTTTTCATATTCAATTTTCATCAAATACAACTGTGGAAGACACTACAATGCACTAATGATATATCTTTTCAGGAATGAGGAACTTACTCCCATAGCTACTGGATATAATGCTGGAAGATGGCCAACAGGTCAGCCCTCTTTATGCATTGCCTTGCTTGAAAAAAAAAATAAAAGCTTCACTCAAGGTCAAACCTCCTTCCACATGTAGCCCACTTTCAATGACTGATCAACACAGTACTGTGAAGGTCTAGTCTCTTTCTCCCAACTCGGGACAACTCTGAAGAGCCATCCCAGCTTCAGGAGCCTTAATGAGTTGGCTGAAGCCTTCAGTGGGCCTTCGCCAAAGCTCAGTTTCTACCTCTGCTAAACATACTTTCTTACCTTTTTTTCCCACAAGTGTTGCTCATAACAGTTTCCCTAATAAATGTCCTGCATTCTAACTTCCTCTCTCGGAATCTGATTTCCTGGAAACTCAACCTGTTACAGCATCATTTTCCCTCTTTATTTCTCTTGAAGCTGTCCCTCTGTTTCTTAATTCATTATCATTGCCTAGTTTGTTCTGCCCTAACTCTGATTTAGAATGGTCCATCTTCACTTTTGGTTCCATGGCCAAACAGGCATTTAAAACAAACCTCCACACAGGCACACTTGGAACATGATCGTAGATCACTGCAGGCTGCCTTGAAAATTCCAAATCCATCCAGTTCCCAACATTTCTTTCTACCAACAAACATACCAAATATAATATTGGTATAACATTAGTACATGCTGTCAGTGCCCTCACAAAAATCCCCCCTGCAGAGAGTTCCTATACACACCAGTGGTTTCCTACAACTCTGCCTGTGGGAACTCACTGTTACAGACCTCTGACCTAAGAGAAAGCTTTAATCAATTAGGGGTTAACAGATAAGTACTCCAACTCCCTTGCCCTTCAGTATGACAATTCTTTCTGAAGGTCCCAGTGAGGTCCCTCAGTTTTCAGCAGTAACCTGATAACTAGCTTGCTTACTTATTGGCTTTCTCCCTCCAGCATCTCACTTCCCCATTTACTTAGTGTGATTCTCCTGATCACCTCTCAGATTAACTACTTGCAATTAAACTCTTGCCTTAGGGTTTGCTTTTGGGAGTGGGTACACAGAACTGATTACCTTGGATATTGTCAAAGACCCCTAAATGATCTCCCAGATCTTACTGGCCTATCTCACCCCTCCTGTCTGTTTTTTATATTACCTCCAGATTTCCCTTTTTCAAACTCAGTTGACTCATACCTCTTGCCTCCTCAGCAATCTTCAATGGCTCCCAGTGCAATAAGTAAAACAAAACTCTGCCCTAAAATGTCTACCTGCATTGCTAATTGTATGTCACTCTGCACTCCCTACCTCACACATGCACTCCAAACACATCCATCTACTTTTTAATTTACAGAAACTGTCTTCTCTGTGTTTTCAATAAGGTTATTTCTCCTGCTGGAAAGTTTCCCCAACCCTCTGCCATATTCTTCAAGGTTCAGATCAAACCCACCATCCCCTGTGAAGCCCTCTCAGACCCCCATTGTTGGGATTAATATTTCCTTCCATCAGGCTCCCCAGTGCTATAATTAAACTTTAGATATATCAAAGCATACCTTCATTGAGATGATTTATGGATACCTGTTTCCACCACCAGATGTGAATTCTCAGGAAGAAGGAGCTACGTGATATTCATATTTAGATACAGTGGTAATATTCAAAATAATTAACAAAACTTTATCCCAATACTGACCAACCAGAAAGGACACCTGATCTAGGTCCTGCCTGATCTAGGTCCTGAGGCATCCTGATGCTTTATGTGTTAACACTTTAGGAGCTGCTAAATTGTTGGGAGGTTCCAAGAGTTCTGGGTGAGGGGCTGTGGTATCTGGACTGGCAAAAGTTATTTGATAGTGGAGCTCAAACAACTGAATATTTGCCAACATATAAGAAAAGATCAGTTGTTACAATATTTCAATAAGCAAAGCATAATTAGTTGAATGTCAGCTTTGTTCATAACTACTATGTTTATAAAGGCTTTCCAAATTATAGGTCTTTAGTAAATAATTATTATATAATCAATAACAGAATTGAAAATGAACACAAAATTTTAAAAAAGTATCTGATACATAACACACGTGCGTACACATGCATGCACCCATACATGGACACGGTTCTTTAACCAGCAAAAGCAGGAAAATTCTCATATGTGTGAAATTTTTATAATCTAGCTTTCTTTATATCACTTCAGATTAGTTAGCAGCTGTTCAGAAGCAATTGTATTTATACTGTTTAATCTATAGTTTAAGTCTTCCAATAGTAATATCAATAAAAATTAGAGCTAGGCTCCCTTTTACAGGCTGTTTTTTCCAAAGCATAATGGGACAACTAATTTAACTCTAAGGCACTGCCCTGGGAAGAGCTAACATGATCACGTCTTGTAAATATTTTTCAAAATTATGAAGCCTGTAAAATGGTTTGTATAGCCAGAAACATTAACCTAATTCATCCTCACTTAACAATGTATCCTGCGCTGCATTTAACTTCACCAAATATGTTCCAAATTTTTTCAAACCAACATGTTAATAGTCCATATCAAAATAGTAAAAATATGTATTGAAATATTGTGGTGCCACAAAAGCTGCTAAAACCAACAACAACAAAAAAGATTACACAAAGGAAAGGCCTGCCAAATCTAATTATTTAATTTTTCGTCAGTCTATTCCAATAACTTTAAGAGTTTGATTCACAGACCAGGGGCTTTGTGGTAGTTATAAACATTCCAAATTCAACAATGTTTCACAGTTTGTGGTTTCTTATGTGTTTCTTCTCATAAGTAGTAGAACTCACTGCTTCCTACAGAACAGGAAACTGAAATTGATTATGTTTTATCAAAACTAATTATACCAATTCTGAATGACTTGCTGCCTTTTACAAAAGACGAGTTAAAACTCTAAAATTAAGGAAAATATACCAACTACTAGGACTGTCAATGACAATTAAAATGAAAACTAAAACTTAAATTTCTTTAAATCAATTCACTTCTTATGGATTACCTAAAAAATAGTAAAATATGTTACTTTATTGAAATGTTTGGACTAGAGACATTATAGCTCAAACCTACCTATCAAATGAGGACTTATTAATGGGGTTTGTAAATCTAAACATCTCAAAAACAAGGGGAAGATTTCAGAAGATGCTAACAATTTTTGTTGTGTTGGCATTTGAGGTTAAGCACACTAGAAGCAGGGAATGGGGATTGGCAGCTGTTTCTTCCTACATAAATTCTATTACAGTGGTAATAATTGGATCATTGTGGTTGGCACTCTGAAATTTCCCTTCTGCTTTTTAATAGCATAGGCATCCAGTATGCTCTCTGCACTTTCTTCTTTGCAGCAGCTCACTATCGCTTCTATACTAGATATAAACCCTTCCCTCAAACACTTTGTTGAGGTAAGCAGGGATGTGAGGCTAGTACATCCAAGGAGCAGTAGATACCACTACATATGTAAGTGTAGAAAGAATATGTGTATATGTATATGCTTTCTACACTTCTAAAGTTGTATCCACTTACCTACATTATAATAATTTCCTCAACAGTATCCAACTACCATAGGGAATTTAATTTTCTCTCAAATAGGACAACTTATTCCTTTGATGAATCATAATCACTCAGTACTAGCTATTACTCTTCTATCACTTCTTACCCCTCTCCCTTCAAAAAGTAACAGGAACACCTCTCCCTCCGATTCCCATGTAAGTAATTCTGTTCTGGGACCATTGCGGAAATCTGCATAAATAAATACTTTATTACAGACAAGGGAAGATAAAGGAAAAAATTCACATATATCAAACCTTTAACTTATTTTTCATATATCAAGTAAGTGCATGTGAATGTTTTTATAATATCCAGTCCTGTAAATAAACATTCTCTTAAAATGTCATTGGGTTGATACGCGGGTATAAGTATTTGAAAGTATTTATCACATTTTAAATGTAAATACCCTTAATTAAATATTTTCATTTATAGAAATTTGTTCCACAAATAAATTTGAATAAATGGCCAAGATAATATAGCACTAGACATAAAATGTATGCATCAAAGCCCTGATTACTTAGAAAGCTAATGACTGAAATATAAAATTAAACTTTCTTCTGAGTCATTTAATAGAAAGTGGAAATACAAATTGCATTTCTATTTGTCTCATCATATTTCCATCTTAGCGTAGTAGGAAAATGACTAATATTTTATTAATGGATTTTATACCTTTCAATATACCACGTTTCCAAGGGCGCACATGAATCAGGTACAGAATTTCTTTATAAGGGTATACTGTAATTTGTGGATTTCCCCACACTATTGGAAGATCTGCAGTTACCTATAAGAGATAATTCAGAAACAAGAATTATGTAGTATCAACATAAAATAAGTACACTACACTACATGAAATTACTGTAACAAGTTAAAGCATAGAACAAACTGAAATTTAATTTAAATACCCCCAATAAAATCATTCACTTTTTTAAAAAACAGCAAGCCAGAAAAATTCTACATCCAGTAGAAGAGAAATCTAAGAACAAACCTATTTAAAAATGGAACAAAGGAAATTATTCTTACAAAACAAATGATGCTTATATTCTGTTGCTACTTATATCAAGATCATTGATGCTTAGAAAGTCTGAATAGCTCTCATCAACCATGCACAATTGTCTTTAGGCAGTTTGATATACAAAAGAGATGAATCATTTCAATAAATTTCTACATCAATATTAATAAAACAAATAAAAAATATTTAAGCAGCATTTGACCACACCCTGGCTAAACCCAACTTTCAGTTTACTGCGTGCTTATATCTTCCTACTTCCCACTGCTCAGGGAAACAATAATCTACTTTGTGTCTCTACATATGAGCCTGTTATGAACAATTATTAGTAATGAAATTAAACAGTACGATGTGGACTTTTGTCACTGACTTTTTTATTTAGCATACTTTTAAAAACTTTTTCATACTTTTAATGGATGAGAAATTGTATATAATGTACAACATGATGTTTTGATATATATATATATATACATTGTGAAATGGCTAAATCAAACTAATTAATCTATGCATTATCTCACATAGTTATCATTTTTGTGGTGAACAAAAAATCTATTCTCTCAGCTCTTTTCAAGAATACAGTACGTTGTTATAATTATCATAACCATGCTGTACACAAGCTCTAATAATTCTCTTGAACTTATTTCTTCTATCAAACTGAAATTTTGTGTCCTTTCATTCACATCTCTCCAACAACTCCCCCCATCAGCTCCTGATAACCACCATTCTACTCTCCACTTCCATGAACTGAACTTTTTTAGATTCCACATATAATTGAGATCATGCAATATTTGCTTTTCTGTGCCTGGCTTACTTCACTCAACATAATGGCTTCCAGGTTCATCCATGTCACAAATGACAGGATTTCCTTCTGTTTTAAGACTGAATAGTATTTCATTGCGTACATATCACATTTTCTTTATCCATTCATTTGTTGATGGACACAGGTTCAGTCCATATCTTGGCTATTGTGAATAATGCTGCAATGAACAACAAAGTGCAGATATTTCTTTGACATAGAGATTTCAAGTCTTTTGAATATATACCCAGCAGTAGAATTACAGAATCATATGATAGTTCTACTTTTAATTTTTGGAAGAAACTTCATAATGTTTATCGTAATGGCTGTACTAATTTACACTCCCACCAACAGTTTAAAAGGGTTTTCCTTTATCCACATCATCACCAACACTTGTTTTTGAATTTTCTTTTCTAGGAATCTTCAAACACTCCAGTAGTGTAGGGAAAGTCCATATATCGCCATGGACTCTGGTAATACAATTCCATATATTCTATGTTGGTGTATAATCATTTTTAAATGTTGTTGAATTCAGTTTTCTAATATTTTGTTGAGAGTATTTCGGCTATAATCCTAAGGAAAACTGATCTGTAGTTTTCATTTTCCATGATGCCTCTGTCTGGATTTATTATCTAGGTAATAATATTGATCTCAAAGTGGAAGTTAGAATATGTTTACTTATCTTTTATTTTTTAGAAGTGTTTGTGAAACATTAATATTAGTTCTTCAACTGTGAGTAAAATCCACTATTAAAGCCATCTAAGACTGTGTTTTCTTTGTGGGAAGTCTTACAAATGCTAATTCTCTACTTGTTGTAGGTGCATCATATTTCTATTCCTTCTTGAGTCAGCTCAGTAGTTTTTGTAACTCTATATATTGGTCAGTTTTTTTCCAAATTATCAAATTTATGGGCATACAGGTTTTCTTAGTATTTATCTCTAATTATTATTTCTTCAGGTAGATAGTGGTGTCTCCATATTCATTTCTTAATTCAGTAGTTTGAGTATTCTCTCTTTTTCTGTCAGTCAAGGTAAATTAGCTTATTTACTGACCTTTTCAAATAACTAACTTTTGTTTTTATTGGTTTTCTCTATTGATTTATTTTCCATATCATTTTATTTCACTCTACTCTCTCTTACTGCCTCTTTGTGCTTGCCTTGTCTTTCATTTGCTTGTTTTTCTAGTTACTTAAGATACAAAGTTAGGTAACTGACTTAACATCTTTCTTCTTTTTTTACTACAGGTATGCACATCTACAAATTTCCCTTTAAGCACTGCTTCAGGTGCACCTCCTAAATTTTGGTCAATTATGTCTTCATTTTCACTCATCTCATATCATTTTCTAATTTCCCTTGTGATTTCTTCTTTGACTTATTGGTTATTTAGGAGTATGTTGTTTTAAATTCCGCATATTCAAGGATTTCCCAAATTTATTTCCATTTTTGACTTCTAATTTAATTCCGTGGTTGTCAAAAATCATACTGTACATGATTACCTCGCTTTTAAATTTATTAAGGTTTATTTTATGCTATAAGACATAGTCTATCTGGGAGAATATTCCATGTATGCTTGAGAAGAATATTTATTCTGCTGTTATTACATGGAATGTTCCACAGATGTCTATTAGATCTCATTGATTTTTGCAAGTCTTCTATATCTATGTTGATCTACTGGCTAGTTAATTACCCATTATTGACAGTGGGATATTTAAACCTCCAACTAACATTGTTGTTTCTGACTTCTTAAATTCTGTTGGTTTTGCTTCATGTCTTTTCAGGCTCTGTTGTTGTGTGTGTGTGTGTGTGTGTGTGTGTGATATAATATGTGATATTTTTAAAATACTTTTCTATGCTTTCTTTATGTTATAATAAAATTATATTATATATCAAATATATCATAATATATAATATAATATAATATATAATATGTTATAATATATATACACACATATTATAAAGAAAGCATAGAAAAATATTTTTTCTAAAGCATAGAAAAATATTTTATGTTAATACTACATAATTCTTGTTTTTGAATTATCTTTTATAGGTAACTGTAGATCTTCTGATAGTGTGTATAATATAATACATAATACATATATGATATATAATACATAATAAATATAATACATAATAAATATAATACATAATACATATATGATATGTGTATAATATATGATAATATATATACACACATACATATACATGTATATACTTATAATTGGTATATATTCCTGATAGATTGACACTTTTATCTTTATAAAATGTCTCTTCATATGCAGTAATAATTTTATGTCTCAAGTCATTTGATTTCTGAAATACTCCAGCCACTTTGGCTCTATTTTAGAAACTATGTTCATGGTATATGTTTTACTTTCAAACTATTTTTGTCATTTTATTTAAAATGGGTCTAATATAAGCAGCCTAAAGTTGAACTTTTCTTTAAAAATACATTCTTCCAATTTCTGACATTTGAGTGTTTAGACAATTTATATATAATGCAGACAAGAAAACTGAAATCTGCCATTTTCCTATTATCTATATATCTTATGTCACCTTTGTTCCTGTAATCTTCCATTACTGTCAGATTTTGAGTAAAATATTTTCTAATGTGTCACTTAAATTCCTTTTCGTATATTTTACTCTATTTTTGAGTTATTTTCTAAGATGTCTTGGGTTTTATAACTAGCATCTTATTTTGAAACAATTTGCTTTGTAATAATTCTAACTTAATTTCAGTAGCATACAGAAATATTTTTCCAGTATGCACCTATCCTTCTAGTCTTCCTGTATGTTACTACATTCATACCAATTACATCTTTACACATTTTAAGCCTGCCAAGATATTTATATAATTATTAATTTTTAAGTTTTTTAATAATTTCAATTTTTATTTTAGATACAGGGGTTACTTGTACAGGTTTGTTACATGGGTATATTGCATGATGCTGAGGTTTAGGTTATGGATCTTGTCACTCAAGTAGTAGGCACAGCACCTAATAGGTAGCTTTTCAACACATGCCCCCTCCTTCCCTTCCTCATCTAATAGTTTGTGTATCTATTGTTCCTATCTCTATGTCCATGTGTATTCAAAGTTTAGCTGCCACCTGTAAGTGACAAATTGCAGTATTTGGTTTTCTGTTACTGCATTACTTTGTTTGGAATTCTAGACTCCAGCTACAACCACGTTGCTGCAAAGAACATGATGCTGTTCCTTTTTATGAATGTATAGTATTCCATGGTATATATGTACTACATTTTCTCTATCCAATCCACCACTGATGGGCACCTGGGTAGCTTCCAAGTCTTTGCTACTGTGAATAGTACTGCAATGAACATATGAGTTCATGTGTCTTTTTGGTAGAGTGATTTGTTTTCTTTTGGGTATATACCTAATAATGAAATTGCTGGGTTGAATGGTAGCTCAGTTTACGTTATTTTAAAAATCTCCAAAATGCTACCCAAAGTGGCTGAACCAATTTACATTCCCAACAACAGTGTATAAGCATTCCCTTTTCTCTCAGCCACTCCAACATCTGTTATTATTTGACTTTTTAATAACAGCCGTTCTGACTAGTGTGAGATGGTGATATGGTTTTGCTGTGTCCCCACCCAAAATCTCATCTTCAATTGTAATCCCCATAATCCCCATAATCCCCACGTATCAAAACCGGGACCAGGTGGAGATAACTGGATCACGAGGGTGGTTTCCCATGCTGTTCTCATGACAGCGAGTGAATTCTCATGAGATCTTATGGTTTTACAAGCATCTGGCATTTCCCCTGCTTGTTCCTCTCCCTCCCACCACCCTGTGAAGAGGTGTCTTCTGCCATGATTGTAAGCTTCCTGAGGCCTCTCAAGCCATGCAGAACTGTGAGTCAATTAAACTTATTTCATTTATAAATTACCCAGCCTTGGGCAGTTCTTTATAGCAGTGGACTAATACAGACGGTATGCCATTTTGGTTTTGGTTTGTGTTTCTCTGATGATTAGTGATGATGAGCATTTTTTCATATGTTTGTTGGACATTTGTATGTCTTCTTTTCAGAAGGGTTTATTCACGTCCTGTGCAAATTTTTAACAGGCTTATTTCTTTTAAGCTTGCTGATTTAAGTTCCTTATAGATTCTGGGTTTTAGACCTTTGTTGGATGAACAGATTGTGAATATTTTCTACCATTCTGTAGGATGTCTTTGTTTTGTTGATAATTTATTTTGCTATGCAGATACTCTTTAATTTAATTAGATCCTTAATAAAATTTTTGATTTGTTGCAATTTACTTTTGGGTACTTAGTCATAATTTCCTTGCCAAGGCTGATGTTGAGAAAGGTGCTCAAGCTAATAAAATCCAGGATTTTAATAGTTTGAGGTCCTACCTTTAAATTGTTCATCAATCTTGAGTTAATTTTTGTATACAGTGAAAGATAGGGATCCAGTTTCATTCTTCTGCATATGGATAGACAGTTATCTCAGCACCATTTATTGAATAGGAAGTCCTTTTACTATTGCTTGTTTTTGTAGGGTTTTTTGAAGATCAGATGATCGTAGGTGTGTGGCTTTATTTCTGGGTTTTCTACTCTGTTCCATTGGTCTATGTGTTTGTTTTTGCATCAGTACTATGCTGTGTTGGTTACTGTACCCTTAGAGCGTGTTTCACATTTTCCTTTGCAGAGATCTTCTACCTCCTTGCTTAGCTGTCTTCCTGGATATTTTAACTTTTTGTGGCTATGGTAAATTGGAATGTGTTCTTGATTTGGGTCTCAGCTTGAACATTGCTGGTGGATAGAAATGCTACTGATGTTCATACTTCTATTTGTTTATCCTAAAACTCTATTAAAGTTTTTTTATCATTTCTTGGAGCCATTTGGCAGTCTTTAGAGTTTTCTAGGTGTAGAACCATATTGTCTGCAAAAAGACATAGTTTAAGTTCTTCTTTTGTCATTTGGATGCCTTTTATTTCTTTCTTTTGCCTGATAGCTCTGTTTAGATCTTCCACTACTATGTTAAACAGGAGTGGTGAAATTTGGCATCCTTGGCTTTTTCTAGTACTCAAGGTGAATGCTTCCAGCTTTTGCTCTTTCATTATGATTTTGGCTGTGGGTCTGTCATAGATGGATTTTTTGATACCTAGTCTCTTGAAGGTGTTTCCCATGAAGAGATGCTGGATTTTATCAAAAGCTTTTTCTGCATCTATTAAGATGACCAAATGATTTTTGCTTTCAATTCTTATAATGAGTGAATGACATTTATTGATTTGTGTATGTTGAACCAGACTTACATGCCAGGAGTAATGCTTGCTTGATCCTGGTGTATTGACTTTTTAATGTGCTTCTGCATTTGGTTTGCTATTATTTTTTTGAGGATTTTTGTGTGTACTTTCATCAGGGATATCGGCCTCAAGTTATCCTTTTTTGTTGTGTCTCTGCCAGATTTTGGCATCAGGTTAATGCTGGATTTATATAATGAGTTAGGGAGAAGCCCCTCCTCAATTTTTTGGAATAGTTTCAGTAGGATTGGTACCAGTGATATAATTTGGCTGTGAATCTATCTGGTCCAGGGCTTTTTTGGTTGGTAGGGGTTTTTATTACTGATTCAATTTTGGAACATGTTATTAGTCTGTTCAGGTCTTCACATTCTGGTTTTATCTTGGCAGGTTGTGTGTTTCCAGTAATTTATCAATTTCCTTTAGATTTTTAAATTTGTCTGCATAGAGTTGATGATAATAGTCTCTGAGGATCTTTTGTATTTCCGTGGGATCCACTGCAATGTCTTCATCATTTACAATTGTTCTTATTTGCATCTTCTTTTCTTTACTCTTGTGTTAATCTAGCTAGTGCACTTTCTATCTTGTTTATTTTTTTAAGAGCCAACACTTGATTTTATTGATCCTTTGTATGGATTTATGTGTCTCAGTATCATTTAGTTCTTCTCTAATTTTAATTCTTTCTTTTATAATACTAGCTTTGGGGTTGGTCTGTTATTTTTTTCTAGTTTCACTGGGTGCAAAGTTAAATTGTTAATTTGAGCTTTTTCTAACTTCTTTATGAAGGCTTTTAGTGCTGTAAACTTTTCTCTTAACATCGCTTTAGCTGTATCCCAGAGATTTTTATAAGTTATGCCTCAAGTTTTATTAGTTTCAAATAATGTTTGATTTCTGGTTTAATTTTTAACTTTACCCAGCAGTTACTCAGGCGCAAGTTATTTAATTTTCATGTATGTGTGTGGTTTTGAGAAATCTTCTTGATATTAATTTTTATTACTATTGCACTGTGATCTGAGAATGTGCTGGGCATGAGTTTTGTTTTGTTTTTTAACGTATTGAGTCTTGCTTTAATTACTGAACATGTGGTCAATCTTAAAATATGTTCTATGCACAGATGAAAAGAAAGTATTTTCTGTGATTGTTTGGTGGACCATTGTATAGCTTTCTATTAGGTCCAATTAGACAAGTGTGAAGTTTAAGTTCAGGACTTCTTTGAAGTTCAGGACTTCTTTCTAAATTTTCTGACTTGATGATCTGTCTAATGCTGTCAGTGGGGCGTTGAAGTCTCCCACTATTATTATGTGGCTGTCTATGTCTTTGGAACATCAAGAACTTGTTTCATGAATCTGGATGCTCGAATATTGAATATATATATATATATATATATATATATATATATATATATACACACACATATAATAGTTAAGTTTTTTGTTGACTTGCACCCTTTATCATAATGTAATGCCTTTTTTTGTTCTTCTTAATTGTTGTTGGTTTAAACTCTATTTTATCTGATATAAGAATAGAGACTTGTACTCTTTTTTCTTTTTGTTTTGCATGTAAATCCTTTTCCATCCTTTTTACTTTGAGCCTGTGGGTATTGTTACATGTGAGACGGGTCTCTTGAAGACAGCAGTCAATTGGGTCTTGTCATTTAATCTAGCCTTCCATTCTGTGTTTTGTAAGTGGGGTTTTTAGTCCAATTACATTTAGGGTCAGTACTGATATGTGAAATTTTGATACTATCATCATGTTGTTAGCTGGTAATTATGAAGCCTTGGTTGCACAGTTGTTTTATAATGTCTATGGGCTATGTGCTTAAGTGTGTTTTTGTGGAAGCAGGTGTCCTTTCAATTCTATGTTTAGCACTCCCTAAAGGACTTCTTGTCAGTCTCATCTAGTAGTAACAAATTCCCTCAGCATTTGATTATCTGAGAAAGATTTTATCTCTCCACTTATGAAGCTTTGTTGGGTGGGACATAAAATTCTTGGTTGGAATTTCCTTTCATTAAGGATGTAGAAAATAGCCCACCACTACCACCAATTTCTTCTGGTTTGTAAGGTTTCTGCTGAAGGATCTATTGGTAGACGATCAGGTGTCCTTTCTATGTGCCCTAACCTTTCACTTTACCTGCCTTTAGGACTTTTTCTTTCACATTGACCTTGGTGAATGTGATGAGCATGTGCCTTTGGGATAGTTGTCTTGTATAGTATCTAGCCAGGGTTCTCTGTATTTCTTTAATTTGCTTGTCAACCTCTCTAGCAAGATTAGGGAAATTTTCATGGACTATATCCTCAAATATATTTTCCATGTTGCTTACTTTCTCTCCTTCTCTCACGAATGCCAATGAGTCACAAGCTTTGTCTCTTTATATAATCTAATTTTTATCAGAGGTTTTGTTCAACTTTTAAAATTCTTTTTACTTTATTTTTGTCTGACTGAGTTGACTCAAAGAACATCTTTGAGCTATGAACTTCTTTCCTCAGCTTGGTCTATTCTGCTGTTAATACCTCCATTTGCATTATGAAATTCTTGTAGTAAATTTCTCAGTTCCAGACGTTCAGTTTGGTTTTTTTCTTAAAATGGTTATTTCACTTTTCAGCTCCTTGGATCATTTTATTGGATCATTTTATTGGATTCCTTGCATTGGGTTTCAACTTTCTCCTGAATGTCGTCAAGTTTCCTTGCCCTCCAGATTCTGAATTCTATTTCTGTAATTTCAGTCATTTCAGTCTGGTTAAGAACCATTCCTGGAGACCTAGTGGGCTCATTTGGAGGTAAGAAGACGCTCTGGTTTTCGAATTGCCAAAGTTCTTGCATTGATTCTTTCTTATCTGGGAGGGTTGGTTTTCCTTTAACTGTGGTGTAATTTGGGTATAGTCAGTTTGCTTTGTTTGTGGATGTTTTCAGAAACAATATTTATTTGAGGCTGAATTCTTGCCCTTGGTTTCACAGGGGTGTATGTTAGCAGAATATTTTGGGGGCTGTCTTTTGGGCTGTGATCCAGTAGATGGTGCTTAAGAATAATGACTGGTAGATAAGCTCTTACACAGCCACGTGACTCTTTTTCTCATGTTTGCATGTGTGCTCTGTGGTGGGAGAGGGTGGGGAAGAGATGACACTCTCACCAGGTCGATTTCTGGGCCTTAGAGGAGCCCCATTTGATTACTGGCACTGCACCCACATTTCTTTTGTTAGGCGTTCCAGGCCAGGGGGCTCACTTGGGCAGAGGCTGCAGCAGGCAGGTAGGCCACACTGTTTCTAGACTGGCCTTGCAGAGAAAGGAATGTCCCACTCCCACACCAGCTGATGGACTAATGTGTCTCACTGTTCTCAGTGCTCTAAGACTGGGGGCTCCTCTTCAACTTGAGTGCTGGCCAAAGATATTGGCTCAGTACTCCTGAGCTGCATGATGCAACCCTAAGGCATCATGACAGGCCCACAGCTAGGGGTCAGGCTCCAGCTGCTCTCAGGGATCTGAAGTGCTCCCAGGTTGCCAGGAAAGTACTCAGTTGGAGCAAAGCACTCAGCCTGGAGAGTGTAGGCTGTATTGTGCACACACTTCTGTGGGGCAGCCAGGCAGGTGCCCTGGGAGATGCTGGCTAGCAGTAGGGCGTACAGAATAAATGTGCCCCAGTTCCATCTGGAAGCTGCCCTTGCTCTCTCTTGGCCTGGCAGTCAGCTGGGGCTAGAGCTTCTAGAAGGGAGATGGGGATCCCTGGGGCCTGGACACTTACGGCTGCACTCCAACAGAGCTGCTTCATGCAGGAAAGCCCCTGGCTCCATGTTAGCTGAAGTCCTGTCTCTGCCTACTTTCTGAAAACATCTCTTTCTCAGCTCAAACATCCATGGGGACATGGAGTCCTCTGTAGCTGGTATCCTAAAGGTCTGCAGTGAGAATAAGCTGTACCTTAGTTCCTTCACTCTTCCCTTCCCCAGAAGTTGTTTGGGGCCAGGAACTATCTCTAGCACTCAGGTACCCCATGTAGGGTTTCCAGCTTCCTCCTCCTTCAGCCTCAGAGTCTGAGTTGCCTCTCAATCCACTCTCGGTGTTTTCCCTCTGAAGATCTGCTCTAATTATGTTGGCTTACTGGATATTTTTGTCTCTATCAATGGGAACAGCAGTTCTTGGCTGTGTCTATTTGGCCGTATTGTCCCCCTCCCCATTTTTTCTTTTAAATGACCTAGAAGGAAAAGCAGTTACATCTAGCATATATTTATGTTGTATATTCTATTCACCTATACAGTAATTTTTTTGATGCTGTTTTTAAGTTGGTTGAGCTTTTTGGATATGTGGTTTAAAGTTTAATAAAATCTGGGGCTTTTTTGGCCTTTATTTCTTTGAAAACTATTTCTTTTCCATTATATTTCTCTTCTGTAGAACTACTGTAAGTCATACATTGGTATGCTTGATGCTGTTCCATGTATATCTAAAGTTCTGTTCATTTTTCTTTATTTTTTCCTCTTCCCCAGACTAGACAATCTGTATTGACTCATATTAAAGTTTGATGATTATTTCTTCTGCCAGCTTACATCTACTGTTGAGGCTGTATAATTAATAATTCTCATTGTACTCGTCAACACCAGAATGTTGGTCTTTTTCATTATTTTTATAACTATATTTATATGATATATTTATTGAAACATCATTGTCATACTTTTCATTAATTCTTTAGATGGGATTTCTTTTAGTTCATTGCATATACTTACAAAGGCTTATTTAAAGTCTTAGTCTAGTAATTCAACGTGTAGGTCCCCTTAGAGACAGCTTCTAACAATTGCTTATTTTTTGTGCATTGGTCATACTTTCCTGTTTCTTTGCTTCCTTGTCCTTTTGCTTCATCTCATAATTAATTTCTTATTGAAAACTACTTTTTATGTAAGGTAATATAGCCACTTTGGAAATCAGATCATCCCCTCCTAATGGTTTGTTTTCATTGTTCTTGTTTTTGTTGTTTTGTTCTTTTATGGTTTAGTGACTTTTCTGAACTAATTCTGTAAAGTCTGTATTCATTATAGTATGTGCCCACTGAAGCTCTATTTAGTTGGCTTAGCGGTCAGCAGTAATTTGCCACAGGTTTCTATAAACGGTGAAAGAACCAATAAATCTTCTATCCTTTGACAAGGAGTACTGTATATGTGTTGTTGTATACTTTAAGTACTCAAGTAGTTTAAAACTCTGATTTAGCCTTAATTTTCAGCTCTCACAGTGTCTGTATCAGCCAGAGGTGAAAAATTAGGACTCTCTCAGGCATGTACACAATCTTGAACATCCGTGCGGCCTGCTTGTTTCCCAGGAATATACCAGAGATTCTAAAATCCCCTAAGGGCATCTTATATTCCAGATCTTCCTTTCAAGTTTTTAGCCAATCTCTTATTAGCTGCTATTGTTATTGCAGCCTCAGACAACTGCAATGTTAAACCATTGCTGCTAAATATTTTTGACAAATGCTCTAAGGATAGGACCTATCCATCAGAGCAAACTCTGAGACAAGTCAAATAATGATAATGCCTTCCTAGTGGGATGCTGCTAGCAAACTTGGAAAAAGGTCAAATAGTAATCCATACACTGTCTCTTCTTTTGACTGCAAAGCTGCTGGTTTTCATAGTTACTACAGTTGCAAGACTGCAGAGCTAAAGAGAGAGGGATAAGAATAATTCAAGTTAAAATGCCACAAACCATCCTGCTCTTTCCAGAATTCCGAGTTTTTCTTAAATATATACTTCTTAGATTATTTCAAGTCTTTAATTTCAAGATCACTGAAAAATTCGATTTTGACAATTTTTGCCAGTGTTTTCATTGCTTTTCTTTAAAAAATGAATTTACAAACCTTCTTGCTTCACCTTCGTGGAAGTCCCACATCTCTTGTCTTCTTTATTATATAATTATTTTCTACTACTTTGTTAATTTGATAAAATTCTATAGCATTTTACCTATATCTCATTTATGTTCTCTAGTTTTTAGTTTCTCTTTCATGTTAAAGAGGTCTCAACCTTCAGCAATCAAATGAAATGTATATTAAAAAGCTTTTTAAAAATACAAAGCATCATAAAAATAGTTACTAGCACCAATGAAAAATTGAACAAGGAAAACATTTAAAAGAACATGCTGAGTCTAGTCTATAGTAACAGATTATCAAAGTGGAGTGGTATAGCAAGGAGTTGAAAATGAAGGGCTGGAGCTTACATGTACATCTTGAATAAAAGTATGAATTTGGTATTTGTATTTAGATGATAGCCTGAAGCCAGGAAACTGCCAAGTGGGAGGTCATACAGAAATAAGGATGCTTTTGATGCGTGAAACTTGAAATCAGAAGGTTAGAGGAATAAACGGACCAGATAAGTAATAATCAAGGTTTGATTATCACTTGATAATCCAATGTTAAGGAATTAATGTCAAGGAAACAAGAAATGTAGAATAATATAAAATAAAGGGTGAATAACATTAAGAAGGTAGGTCAACAGTGTCAAACTTCACATGTTACTGGCCCTTGAGTTCACAGAGGTCACAGCAGAGGAAACAATCAATGAAATGTAAGGCAACCTAAGGAATGGACAAAATATTCGCAAATTACATAGGTGATATGAGGATAATAGATAAAATGTATTAGTCTATTTTCATGCTGCTGATAAAGACACACCCAAGACTGGGTAATTTATAAAGAAAAAGATTTTTAATGGACACACAGCTCCATGTGGCTGGGGAGGCGTCACTATCATGGTGGAAGGCAAAAGACATGTCTTACATGGCAATAAGCCAGAGAGAACATGTGCAGGGGAACTTCCCTTTATAAAACCATCAGATCTCATGAGACTTATTCATTATCACGAGAACAGCATGGGAAAAATCCACCCACATGATTCAATTACCTCCCACCAGGTCCCACCCATGACACATGGGAATTATGGGAGCTACAATTCAAGATGAGATTTGGGTGGGGACACAACCAAACCATATCATAAAATATAAGGAAAACACAACTCAACAGAAAAAAAAAGACATTAAAATCCAGATATCCCTATAAAAAAATGGGCAAAGGACTAGGTTTTGATTTTGAAGGTAAGAGATGGCACTGAATAATTTTACTCGGACATGAGAAGATAAGAGTTTCATTTAGAATATTAATTCCATTTGCAATCTAGCAAAAAAAAAGAAGAGGAAAACCAAGGCACATATTTATCAGGGTTACAAAAAAAGCAAAGAGTAAACCCAGAGAATTTACAAACTTCTGTAGTCCCCTCTAAAATTGAATTCAGGCACCTATAATGGGTAGATATTTGAAGCTTCTTTTGAGGATCCTATTGAGCAAATAACTATTTGTGGGTAATTGTAGGAGTGAGTGGAAAATGTTATTTAAAGATTGGTTTAAACAAACCAAGTGAGGATGACAGAGTATAATGCTTCATAAAAAATAAGGATATAGGCCAGGCGCAGTGGCTCATGCCTGTAATCCCAGCACTTTGGGAGGCCAAGGTGGGTGGATAACTTGAGCCCAGGAGTTTGATACCAGCCTGGCCAACATGGTAAAACCCCATCTCTACAAAAAATATAGAAAGTAGCTGGGCGTGGTGGCACATGCCTATAATCCCAGCTACTTGGGAGGCTGAGACACAAGAAACACTTGAACCCAGGAGGTGGAGGTTGCAGTGAGCCGAGATCATACCACTGGCCTCCAACCTGAGCAACAGACAAAAAATAAAATAAAATAAAATAAAATAAATAAAACCTAAAACAAAAAATAAATAAGTAAAAGGGTGTAAACAATTATGCATTCCTTAATATTTCCACCATTATTTACACTGGTAAATGATAGGCTACACTTCTGAAATTTTGTTTTGCTTACAGATTTCACATTAAAATTTTAAAAGATGTTTCTAAATATTTTTGAAAACACCATTTATTATCATGTACAATTTTTTCAATGAAAAGCACATGACTCAAATAAGTAGATTTTAATGTGCTTTATAGTTATATACATATAAGACTTATTTCATCCTAATTCAACTTTATAATTGAAATGATATTTAAAAGCTGTTGGACTAATAATAGGTAGGATTGTAGACATCTTATGTGACATTGCTTCAACTGATTAAGTAAAACTAAATGTTTAAAAAATTGTTTGTAATTATTATATTTCATGTGATTCACTATATTCAGAAAAAAACACTTTCACACTAAAAATAAATTCTTACCTTAAATGTTAGGGCAGTATTTGTGAAATGAGGCAATGTTATATGCTTTTGTGTCACATTCCCCACTTGACATTCCACAGTGATGTGTTCCAAGGCCGAAGGTTTTTTCCCAACCCCTTTTATGTCAAAGATGTGCTCCCTACCATCTACTTCATTTTGTAGAATAAGTTTACCCTATGAGAAACCAGACAAATTTCAGGTCTATAGGAGTCATAGATAAATGTTAAACAACCTCTGCTATCTTATTCTTCTTGTGTCTGATTAATAAAAAGAGCTTGTAGAGAGGTGTTAGCCATTGACTTTTTCAATACACAAATAACTGCTTCTACAAAACACATAAAGACAAATTTCTGGTGAAAAGTCATTTATTTCTGATTACCCTTGCTAAATTACAGAGTGTATATAGGTATTTTCATACACAGCAATTATATGCATGTCTACTTCCATGTAAAAGAAATATTGTCTTAAGAAAGTATTTTCTGATACACCAATTTCTTTAATGAATAGGAAGGAAAAGTAATTATCTTACTTTGTTCAGCATGTTGTACAAAATTAATTTGAATGCTAGTATTCACAGACAAAAATATTGTTATGTTCATGATGTTTATGCCTCAAATTAAAACATGTATTAAAGTTTTAAGTAAAAATAGTCAAATTCATGGAAAATATTAACTTTTCTACTAAACAGTTGTACTATCAATTAAAAGACTAATGTCATACATTAGTTTATTAACTAATGATACTATTAATTAATACTGGGGAAAATATCAAGGAGTTCATACCGTAATGACACATTCAAAAATAGGTTTGAATGTGAGAGGATACTCCACAATTTCATCTGGTCCAACATGTAAATCAACAGGTCCATAAAACCATTCTCCTTCTATAGTAACTTGAAAGGTCCATTTATCGTTTGTTTGATTTTTCTAAAGCATGAAAAAGGTACAGAAATATCAGAGAGATGATATTGATGAAATTGAATTACATATGAATTCTTGGTAATTTCTATAGCATTATATATTGTATTTTTAATTGTATTTCCAAGGAATCACCAGTGGAAAGTCATATTTGTTAAGAATAAATATCGATGTGCTGGAGCCAAGATGGCCGAATAGGAACAGCTCCGGTCTACAGCTCCTAGCGTGAGCGATGCAGAAGACGGGTGATTTCTGCATTTCCATCTGAGGTACCGGGTTCATCTCACTAGGGAGTGCCAGACAGTGGGCACAGGACAGTGGGTGCAGCGCACCGTGTGTGAGCCGAAGCAGGGCGAGGCATTGCCTCACTCGGGAAGCACAAGAGGTCAGGGAGTTCCCTTTCCTAGTCAAAGAAAGGGATGACAGACGGCACCTGGAAAATCGGGTCACTCCCACCTCAATACTGCGCTTTTCCACAGGCTTAAAAAAATGGCGCACCAGGAGATTATATCCCCCACCTGGCTCGGAGGGTCCTACGCCCACGGAGTCTCGCTGATTGCTAGCACAACAGTCTGAGATCAGACTGCAAGGCAGCAGCGAGGCTGGGGGAGGGGCGCCTGCCATTGCCCAGGCTTGTTTAGGTAAACAAAGCAGCTGGGAAGCTTGAACTGGGTGGAGCCCACCGCAGCTCAAGGGGGCCTGCCTGCCTCTGTATGCTCCACCTCTGGGGGCAGGGCACAGACAAACAAAAAGACAGCAGTAACCTCTGCAGACTTAAATGTCCCTGTCTGACAGCTTTGAAGAGAGCAGTGGTTCTCCCAGCACACACCTGGAGATCTGAGAACGGGCAGACTACCTCCTCAAGTGCGTCCCTGACCCCTGACCCCCGAGCAGCCTAACTTAGAGGCACCCGCCAGTAGGGGCAGACTGACACCTCACACGGCCGGGTACTCCTCTGAGGCAAAACTTCCAGAGGAACGATCAGACAGCAGCATTCGCAGTTCACGAAAATCCACTGTTCTGCAGCCACCGCTGCTGGTACCCAGGCAAACAGGGTCTGGAGTGGACCTCTAGCAAACTCCAACAGACCTGCAGCTGAGGCTCCTGTCTCTTAGAAGGAAAACTAACAAACAGAAAGGACATCCACACCAAAAACCCATCTGTACCTCACCATCATCAAAGGCCAAAAGTAGATAAAACCACAAAGATGGGGAAAAAACAGAGCAGAAAAACTGGAAACTCTAAAAAGCAGAGCACCTCTCCTCCTCCAAAGGAACGCAGCTCCTCACCAGCAATGGAACAAAGCTGGATGGAGAATGACTTTGACGAGTTGAGAGAAGAAGGCCTCAGATGATCAAACTATTCCGAGCTACAGGAGGAAATTCAAACCAAAGGCAAAGAAGTTGAAAACTTTGAAAAAAATTTAAACGAATGTAAAACTAGAAAAACCAATACAGAGAAGTGCTTAAAGGAGCTGATGGAGCTGAAAGCCAAGGCTTGAGAACTACGTGAAGAATGGAGAAGCCTCAGGAGCCGATGCGATCAACTGGAAGAAAGGGTGTCAGTGATGGAAGATGAAATGAATGAAATGAAGAGAGAAGGGAAGTTTAGAGAAAAAAGAATAAAAAGAAATGAACAAAGCCTCCAAGAAATATGGGACTATGTGAAAAGACCAAATCTACATCTGATTGGTGTACCTGAAAGTGACGGGGAGAATGGAACCAAGTTGGAAAACACTCTGCAGGATATTATCCAGGAGAACTTCCCCAATCTAGCAAGGCAGGCCAACATTCAGATTCAGGAAATACAGAGAACGCCACAAAGATACTCCTCGAGAAGAGCAACTCCAAGACACATAATTGTCAGATTCACCAAAGTTGAAATGAAGGAAAAAATGTTAAGGGCAGCCAGAGAGAAAGGTCGGTTACCCACAAAGGGAAACCCATCAGACTAACAGTGGATCTCTCGGTAGAAACTCTACAAGCCAGAAGAGAGTGGGGGCCAATATTCAACATTCTTAAAGAAAAAGAATTTTCAACCCAAAATTTCATATCCAGCCAAACTAAGCTTCATAAGTGAAGGAGAAATAAAATCCTTTACAGACAAGCAAATGCTGAGAGATTTTGTCACCACCAGGCCTGCCCTAAAAGAGCTCCTGAAGGAAGCGCTAAACATGGAAAGGAACAACCGGTACCAGCCACTGCAAAATCATGCCAAATTGTAAAGACCGTCAAGGCTAGGAAGAAACTGCATCAACTAACCAGCAAAATAACCAGCTAACATCATAATGACAGGATCAAATTCACACATAACAATATTAACCTTAAATGTAAATGGACTAAATGCTCCAATTAAAACACACTGACTGGCAAATTGGATAAAGAGTCAAGACCCATCAGTGTGCTGTATTCAGGAAACCCATCTCACGGGCAGAGACACACATAGGCTCAAAATAAAAGGATGGAGGAAGATCTACCAAGCCAATGGAAAACAAAAAAAGGCAGGGGTTGCAATCCTAGTCTCTGATAAAACAGACTTTAAACCAACAAAGATCAAAAGAGACAAAGAAGCCATTACATAATGGTAAAGGGATCAATTCAACAAGAAGAGCTAACTATCCTAAATATATATGCACCCAATACAGGAGCAACCAGATTCATAAAGCCAGTCCTGAGTGACCTACAAAGAGAATTAGACTCCCACACAATAATAATGGGAGACTTTAACACCCCACTCTCAACATTAGACAGATCTACGAGACAGAAGATTAACAAGGATATCCAGGACTTGAACTCAGCTCTGCACCAAGCAGACCTAATAGACATCTACAGAACTCTCCACCCCAAATCAACAGAATATACATTCTTCTCAGCACCACACAACACCTATTCCAAAATTGACCACATACTTGGAAGTAAAGCTCTCCTCAGCAAATGTAAAAGAACAGAAATTATAACAAACTGTCTCTCAGACCACAGTGCAATCAAACTAGAACTCAGGATTAAGAAACTCACTCAAAACCACTCAATTACATGGAAACTGAACAACCTGCTCCTGAATGACTACTGGATACATAACGAAATGAAGGCAGAAATAAAGATGTTCTTTGAAACCAATAAGAACAAAGACACAACATACCAGAATCTCTGGGACACATTTAAAGCAGTGTGTAGAGGGAAATTTATAGCACTAAATGCCCACAAGAGAAAGCAGGAAAGATCTAAAATTGACACCCTAACACCACAATTAAAAGAACTAGAAAAGCAAGAGCAAACACATTCAAAAGCTAGCAGAAGGCAAGAAATAACTAAAATCAGAGCAGAACTGAAGGAAATAGAGACACAAAAAAACCCTTTAAAAAATTAATGAATCCAGGAGCTGGTTTTTTGAAAGGATCAACAAAATTGATAGACCACTAGCAAGACTAATAAAGAAAAACAGAGAGAAGAATCAAATAGACGCAATAAAAAATGATAAAGGGGATATCACCACCAATCCCACAGAAATACAAACTACCATCAGAGAATACTACAAACACCTCTACGCAAATAAACTAGAAAGTCTAGAAGAAATGGATAAATTCCTTGACACATACACTCTCCCAAGACTAAACCAGGAAGAAGTTGAATCCCTGAATAGACCGATAACAGGCTCTGAAATTGTGGCAATAATCAATAGCTTACCAACCAAAAAGAGTCCAGGACCAGATGGATTCACAGCCGAATTCTACCAGAGGTACAAGGAGGAACTGGTACCATTCCTTCTAAAACTATTCCAATCAATAGAAAAAGAGGGAATCCTCCCTAACTCATTTTATGATGCCGGCATCATCCTGATACCAAAGCCGGGCAGAGACACAACCAAAAAGGAGAATTTTAGACCAATATCCTTGATGAACATTGATGCAAAAATCCTCAATAAAATACTAGCAAACCGAATCCAGCAGCACATCAAAAAGCCTATCCACCATGATCAAGTGGGCTTCATCCCTGGGATGCAAGGCTGGTTCAATATACGCAAATCAATAAATGTAATCCAGCATATAAGCAGAACCAAAGACAAAAACCACATGATTATCTCAATAGATGCAGAAAAGGCCTTTGACAAAATTCAACAATCCTTCATGCTAAAAACTCTCAATAAATTAGGTATTGATGGGATGTATCTCAAAATAATAAGAGCTATCTATGACAAATCCACAGCCAATATCATACTGAATGGGCAAAAACTGGAAGCATTCCCTTTGAAAACTGGCACAAGACAGGGATGCCCTCTCTCACCACTCCTATTCAACATAGTGATGGAAGTTCTGGCCAGGGCAGTCAGGCAGGAGAAGGAAATAAAGGGTATTCAATTAGGAAAAGAGGAAGTCAAATTGTCCCTGTTTGCAGATGACATGATTGTATACGTAGAAAACCCCATTGTCTCGGCCCAAAATCTCCTTAAGCTGATAAGCAACTTCAGCAAAGTCTCAGGATACAAAATCAATGTACAAAAATCACAAGCATTCTTATACACCAATAACAGACAAACAGAGAGCCAAATCATGAGTGAACTCCCATTCACAATTGCTTCAAAGAGAATAAAATACCTAGGAATCCAACTTACAAGGGATGTGAAGGACCTCTTCAAGGAGAACTACAAACCACTGCTCAAGGAAATAAAAGAGGATACAAACAAATGGAAGAACATTCCATGCTCATGGGTAGGAAGAATCAATATCATGAAAATGGCCATACTGCCCAAAGTAATTTATAGATTCAATGCCATCCCCATCAAGCTACCAATGCCTTTCTTCACAGAATTGGAAAAAAACTACTTTAAAGTTAATATGGAACCAAAAAAGAGCCCGCATTGCCAAGTCAATCCTAAGCCAAAAGAACAAAGCTGGAGGCATCACACTACCTGACTTCAAACTATATTACAAGGCTACAGTAACTAAAACAGCATGGTACTGGTACCAAAACAGAGATATTGATCAATGGAACAGAACAGAGCCCTCAGAAATAACGTCGCATATCTACAACTATCTGATCTTTGACAAACCTGAGAAAAACAAGCAATGGGGAAAGGATTCCTTATTTAATAAATGGTGCTGGGAAAACTGGCTAGCCATATGTAGAAAGCTGAAACTGGATCCCTTCCTTACACCTTATACAAAAATTAATTCAAGATGGATTAAAGACTTAAACGTTAGACCTAAAACCATAAAAACCCTAGAAGAAAACCTAGGCATTACCATTCAGGACATAGGCGTGGGCAAGGACTTCATGTCTAAAACACCAGAAGCAATGGCAACAAAAGCCAAAATTGACAAATGGGATCTAATTAAGCTCAAGAGCTTCTGCACAGCAAAAGAAACTACCATCAGAGTGAACAGGCAACCTACAAAATGGGAGAAAATTTTTGCAACCTACTCAGCTGACAAAGGGCTAATATCCAGATTCTACAATGAACTCAAACAAATTTACAAGAAAAAAACAAACAACCCCATCAAAAAGTGGGTGAAGGACGTGAACAGACACTTCTCAAAAGAAGACATTTATGCAGCCAAAAAACACATGAAAAAATGCTCATCATCACTGGCCATCAGAGAAATGCAAATCAAAACCACAATGAGATACCATCTCACACCAGTTAGAATGGCATCATTAAAAAGTCAGGAAACAACAGGTGCTGGAGAGGATGTGGAGAAATAGGAACACTTTTACACTGTTGGTGGGACTGTAAACTAGTTCAACCATTGTGGAAGTCAGTGTGGCGATTCCTCAGGGATCTAGAACTAGAAATACCATTTGACCCAGCCATCCCATTACTGGGTATATACCCAAAGGACTATAAATCATGCTGCTATAAAGACACATGCACACGTATGTTTATTGCGGCACTGTTCACAGTAGCAAAGACTTGGAACCAACCCAAATGCCCAACAATGATAGACTGGATTAAGAAAATGTGGCACATATACACCATGGAATACTATGCAGCCATAAAAAATGATGAGTTCATGTCCTTTGTAGGGACATGGATGAAATTGGAAATCATCATTCTCAGTAAACTATCGCAAGAACAAAAAACCAAACACCGCATATTCTCACTCATAGGTGGGAATTGAACAATGAGAACACATGGACAAAGGAAGGGGAACATCACACTCTGGGGACTGTTGTGGGGTGGGGGGAGGGGGGAGAGATAGCTTTAGGAGATATACCTAATGCTAAATGACGAATTAATGGGTGCAGCACACCAGCATGGCACATGTATACATATGTAACTAACCTGCAGATTGTGCACATGTACCCTAAAACCTAAAGTATAATAATAATAAAATAAAAAAAGAATAAATATCAAAAATGTAAACATAAGGCATAATGATGACTACATGTTCTTTCTATGTCACATAAGAGCATTGCCTAATAGATCTATCGAAGGATCATTTAATATCTAAAGAAATTCCCTTTGTCTCACTTACTAATTACCATTAAGATGATAAAATGGCCTTAGAGGACACACTTTACTTCTAATTCAAGGTAATAATTGTCATTCTACCTGGTATGTTGCTCACATAGCAAAGATTATATATCTCATCAGAACAAAATTTTGTGCTTCAGATTGACTTTTGTCATGTCTTTAATAATTAGACAAATAAACCAAAAAAGGCAATTTATCCCTCTAAAAAGCCAAAGTTCTTTACAATTATCTTACCTTCTTTTACACTATATTGTCACTTTGACTAATAGGTAGCCAAGCTACAGGCAATCATTGTTCTCAGTGCCTATGAACCCATCTTAACCAAGTGTTAGATCACAACAGAATTTAGAGTAGAGTGACCTGAGAGTCCATAACTCTGCTTGTTGAAGCAAGAAGGAATTTAATGATACATTAAGGACATTGGAGTTAATTGTTTTAAGCAAAGAGCCAGCAGAAGTGATTAATGAGATGAGTAACATAATAACATTTATATTTAGGAAGAGATTCTGACATAAATATGAAGAAATAATTGACAGCAGATAAGACAGTCAGAAATTTGTAATAGTCCAAGATGAGAGGTCTGGAGGACTTTAATTGACACAGTGGCAATATGAATAAAGAAAGGTACCAAAAAAGTTTATACATACTATTGGAATATTCTGAGTAAGGGCTTCAAATGCTGGTGTTTCAAACTCAAATTTGGCCTCTGGTTGTTCTTCATTCACAATACCTTCAACATAATAGGCACGCACATCATACCTTGATTTCAATAAAATTTTACAAGGGTAGCGTCCAGATTGGAGAGGAAGAAATTGCAAAGGAAGTGGAACAGATCCATCTGAAGCTATCAAAATAATTTTAAAACAGTTCATTTAAAATCATATAAAACCTAAAATTCATCTTGGTAAGCAATATTTAATATTATTGTATTAAATTGTACTGCATAACCTAGAATAGGTTTCACTGGGATAACACAATACTTCTAAATCTCCAGGGCTTACCATGCAAGCTTATTTATCAATTAGAGTATATATACTGCACTGGTCAGAGAACAGTGTGCTCCTCAAAGTCACTCAGGACTCCATACTGTGAAAGATACCACCATCTTGCATTTGTACCATAAGAAATGTCTCTGCTCTTTGGCTGAGAGGTCAGGGGAAAAGGAATGGCTGGAAGTTTGCTCAAGGACTTTTCAGTTTTCAGCTCAAAATTAATATAAACATTACATTTAACTGGCCAGACCCAGCTATGTGACTCTACCTAATAGAAAGGGGGCTGAGATAGAAGGAAATACATGCAATATTAGATGGGCTTTACTGTCAGCCACATTTCTATGACTTAGAGGTGCTCTGTCTCACAGCAATCAAAATAATTTGCAACTTGGCCAGCAGATAGAAATAATTTTTTCATAGCTAATAACCAAGGGAACCAGAAAAGTGCATGTGTAATTAATACTTCTCATAACACCCCGTTACAACATTTACCTTAAGCTACTAGCTAATTTTACTTCTTACGCTAGGTTGAGCTATCTATTCTCATTCTTTCCTTTCAGGCAACACCACTTTTTCTCTGAAGGTCACCATTTCCTTGGCATCCATAAAATGAGAAAATAGTTATAAAAATTTGGCAACCCTAAAGTAGAATGCAGTATAAGAACATAATAAAAGTTTCATAGTTAATGCCAAACTATTTAAATAGTCAACAAACAACAAATGATTTTAAAAACATCTGACGCCTAATTCTGTACAAGGAAGTTCTCTGAAACCAAGAAAACAAATCAAGCATATCAATCAATTGGCCAGACACATATTATGACATTAAATGGCTACAATTTTAATTCTCCCAAAGTGAACACTTCAAATGTGAAAGGTGGCATGTTGTTTTCAAATACAATGAAATGTATATGCCAAGATATGCAAGAACATTTATACGCAAGAACATTCTATGCAAGAACATTAACTACCCTAAATCCTTTATCAAACAAGAGTTTATGTGTGTGTTATAAATTATACATTATGTAATGTTACATATCTTATATTAATTGAATATTATATAGCATATATTCCATGTCTATGTTGCTATATGTAATACAATATATATAATGTATAATGCTACATTGAATAGTACATATTAAAACATGCTGATAATGGATAATATTTGAAATTTGTATTACATCCAACAAGTTCAAGACTTCAGCTGGTCTGAGGAGAAAACAGTTACTCTCAAAGGCTCTCAGAATGTTATTTTTGTTCCATCCTATTCAAGCATAAACCTAATTTTAGAACACATTTTTTTCTTGGCAAAAAGGACTCCAGGCACATTTTATCATCTGTTGTTAATTGATTACTTTTATCCTGAGAGAGGTATTTGTGTTGTGGCAATCTCAATAGAACAAATCAGCACAGAAAATTATTTGTTGTTTTAATAACAGGCATAAACAGAACTCATTTTTTTTTCTTGGATGAAGAGAATGAAATAAAAATATTTAGAATATGTAATTTAAATAGAATTCTATTAATTTACGTTTATTTTATTTATATAAGAATTAAACTGTTCAGACAATTTTAAGAATTGCAGAATATCTATTGTTTTCATCAAAGATAAAAACCTCTTGCTATTTAATGCTACACAATCATTGCAACGCACAAGTTCAAGTATAAAATTTCTGTCAAAAGCTTTATGTTATACATTTCTTTTTCCAAAAAAAATGTTCATTTCCTAATGATTGCTGAGTCTGAAAGTTAAAGCCAAAGACATTCTTAAGTGTACATTTTCCAACTCATGAAATGTTTATGAGCAAGGACTTTAAGGGCTACACAATGTCAGCCCCTCTCTCTTACAAATCCAAAAAGTAAATCATTATAATAGTGGAATTTGTGGAAATTATAATTTTAATTTTGATGATGTATTTATAAATCAATATCTGTTTCATTTTTAAATATCCAAAATAATTTTATTAAGTTGTATAAGAAACATAAGTAGGGGTGATATATATTATAAATAAGAGATTTAAAAACTTCTGGGTTAAGATATTTATTTGACAGTATTTGCGTCCCCATCAGATGTAAACTAGCAGAGGTAGAAACCATTTTGATCTTCAGAAATTTGGAAATTTTACTGGACACATTGTGCCATCATATAATAATGGGACATGTTTTCTTAAATCTATTTCCAATTCTGGACTGTAGCAAATGCTGTCCATGCCTTGACATGTCCCCTTTAAGTATGCCTTAAAGGGCATGGATTTATGGATATGTGTGACTTCCTCCTTGAAAGTTCTCTCTAGACAAAGAATGGTACTCAGTTCTCACATAGATCATCCAGAAGTGGTAGTAAAAGCCTGCAGGAGCAGTACCAAACCAAAAATTGATCAAAATTGCTAAAAAACAAACGAACAAAAAAATCTGTTTTCTTGCCCTTTGGTTAGAAGAACTCTGAGGTGAATTTGACACCAACTTCCAGAGGCCCCCAGTGGGACTGAGTCCCAATTGCCTGCAATGATAACCTGATAATTAAAATCCCTGGAATTGGTTTCTTCTCTTTGCAGTCTCCTACTCCCCTACCTATGCTTTGGGATCACCTCTCAAACTACTTGCTCTCAAGACCAGATCTCAGGGTCTGCTTTGGAATTACCTAGCTTAACACATGCCCTAAATCCCAGGATAGAGAGGTTCCTGTCCTGGTCTCATGCTTTCTAGGGCCTTACTCTGATCCTCCTCTGGCATTGCCTCTCTGCACGTGCAAGAAGTACATGGGCCCAATGGGACAGATCTCTATGGATCCCAGCCCCACCCATGGTTCAAGTTCATGAGACATTATAATTCACAATCCATAGTTCCTTGATCCTGTTTACAGTGCTTTCACAAGACTCTTCCCTAGGTCAGTCCTCTTGGTAGAAGACTCCTAGAACTGTGCAGTAACTAAGAGGTCACTATTAGGAGGGTATGGACCAAGAGTAAGTGTGTGGGCTGACATATCCACATGTTTAAACATAAGAACCATTAGAGTGCATGTAAGAGTTGAAAGAAGACAATGATGTGGGCACCTGACTAGCACCCAGCTACCCTGTGCTGTCATTTTCTAGTGCAAAACTCTGAGGAGTCCAAAAATTCTAAATTCAAACTTGGTCTTCAAGGTTCTTATAAGGTTAGATTTGTTAAAATGGAATAATAGAATGTATTCTATTTTGAAATGTGTTAGTTTGATTTGTAAGTTTTTAAAATTTAGACATATGTTATGTGGGTTTCCATTTGTACTCTTGACTTGGGCATAACAAATGTTAGGGACTATCTGGATCTGTCCCTTCCATCCCTACTCAACTCAGATGTAGTTAACCTGTATCTTTTCTTTACAAGTGTGGCAATTGTCAAGATTCTATATTTAAAGATAACCGAATATATGTAAATTTACAGAAAAATTACAATTACTGAAGAAAATAAACATAAAGAAAGAATTTCTTGAAGTAAAGACTACATCATTTCATTTAACTTTGGTTATTGGAAGAAATCAGTGCTATCTACAGTTTTTCAAATAACCCATAAAAATATACTATGTTCAGATCCTAGAATAGGTCATAGTTGGAACAAAAAATCAATACCATTGTTTTGTTCAGCTACAACTGCATAACAAACTACCCAAAAACTTAGTGATTTAAAGCAACAACCATTCATTTGCTCATAATTCTGTGGCCTGAGCTCATTTAGGACAGCTTATCATCTCCACATGGTACTACCTGGGTATTTTGACCTGTGTATATACTGGGTATTGACTGTGGTCTTTGGATCTCAGCTGGGAATTCTGTCCATGAGCACTCAAATCCTGTATGAGATGAGCCCAATCATTTTTCATAGAGTACAGAAGAATTACCAGCAGCAAAAAAGAGACTAATGTAAAAGAAGCTATCAAATATCTGCCTCTTTCCCATTCCTAAATGATCCTTTGTCCAAAGCAAGTCACATGGCCACAACCAGGTCAACGAGGAAAGGGAGACTATACAAAACCTGTGTAAAGGCAGATATGATCCACTTGGGCTTTTACTGTAATAATCTACAATTCCCTAACTGCAGAGAAACATACATGTATAAAACTTGTGACCTGAAAAAGATAAAATCAACTGAGAGTTAAAACACTTTTTTTCAGTTTTGGTTCCAATTCTACATTGTGTGACCTTAAGCAAACAACTTAAGGTTTTTTTTTAAACTCAACTTCTTTTTTTTTCCTTTCATTTTTCAACCACAAGTTTATTTTCTAAATGTACTCTATATATTTTTAATACCAGAAAAGGGTTTATTTCCCCCCATGGATACAAGGTAGTCCCTCCCAGATATTTTTGGCATGTGATTTTAAAACTGAAAGCCATCTAAAAATAGTTGTGAAAGTTAAGACATAAGCATTATTTTAATATCCTCCCAACTATTTAAGAACATCAATTTTTAAAACAATTTTTAACTTTATAATTTTTTTAATTTTAGCTTTTATTTTAGATACAGGGAGGTACATGTATTGAATTTTTACATGGGTATATTGGACCCAGGTAGTGGGTATAATACCCAATAAGTAGTTTTTCAACCCACACGTCCCTCCAAACTTCTTAACCTCTTTCAATGAGTGGGATTTGATTAATAGCTTTCAAAAATTTTTATTTTCTGGCTTAGACGTACTGTGTATGAACAATATTTAAAATTGAATTAACATATAAAACAAAGGAAACTGGAGTTAATCTGGTTGAAGTAGAATGAGGAGCTAGAAGTCCCCATTTACTTCCATGGCCTCACTATAGATAAGCCAAAGCACTTCAGAAGAATTTTGGGGCTTCATAGAATATAATTTGATTAACTAATTTATTAGACTTGTTTGTGCCTTAATAGGTCATAATTGTATAAAAACACATCAAACATATGGAAGAGATTAAGTAATATAGTAAGTTGAACACTGCCTTCTATAGTTGTTTTTGGTATATTATTAACAAACAATAGTCAGAGCTTTTAATTCAGAAAATGAATAATTAAGAATGAATAATTATATTTATTACATGTATATACATAATTGTATAATATTTATTATAAGAAAACATGAATAATTATATTTTAGAGAATTTTTTGGCCTATTTGTTAATCACACTGCCATCTACTGCTAAAAACTCAATGTAGGCTTTTTTTCTATTGTATAAGTCAAAAGACTAACTTACCTGCTCTCTTAGGCCATTCTCGCATTGCTATAAAGAAATACCTGAGACTGGGAAATTTATTTAACTAAAAAAAAAGTTTAATTTGCTCACGGTTCTGTAAGCTATAAAGGAAGCATGGAAGTATCTGCTTGGCTTCTGGGGAGGACTCAGGAAACTTACAATCATGGCAGAAGACAAAGCAGGAGCAGGCATCTTACATGGCAGGAACACAAGTAAGAGAAGAGAGTAGGGGGAGGTACTATACACTTTTCAACAACCAGACCTCACTAGAACTCACTCACTATCCTGAGTACAGCATCAAGAGTATGGTGCTAAACCATTCATGTGAAACCACCCCTAAGATCTAATCACCTCCTACTAGTTCCCACTTCCAACATGGTGATTACAATTTGAAATGAGATTTGAGCAAGGACACAGATCCAAACTATATCACAAGTAAAGTGAAATTTTTCCCATTTTGGTTATATTATTATATTTTTGTAGGCATGTACATGAGTATCTGAATCACAAATACTCTGGAAAAGTGATTTTGCGCTAAAAACTGTTCATTACTATTTCCTCTTTAATAAAAATATGAAATGTAGCCATAGACATTAAAAAAAGAAATCAGCAGTTAAAAAATTTACAGTGTTTATTTTGTAAAAAATTTGTATTAGTAGAAATTTTGTAATATGGTCCACTCAGGAAAAAAATCCATTTTCTAAAATGGACTAACTGCTTAAATTGTTATATTTATTATAATATTCAATAAAATAATTTAAAATAATAAAGACCTATACTTATTATTGACAAATTCAATTTTTAAAATATTGGTTAAAATTCATTTTATTATTTAAAAAGAGGTTGAACTACTTTTCCTTTTCTATTACCAGGGAGATTTAAAATAATATAATACTTAGGGGATAAAAGACAAAGAGTGATAGGAAGAGAGAGGGGAAAGGAAAAGGAAAGAAAGGAAGAAAAGAAGAAAAAAAGAGGATAAATATAAAGGAGAGGGGAAGTAGGAATTGAGGAAGGAAAATGAAAAGTATTTGGAATGCTAAAAGAATGTCATGTGATCCTTTCTGCCGGACCAACCTCAAATGTCTGAAAGCACTGGACTTGCCTTCCCATGAAGTTTGTAAGTATCTGCCAGCAGGGCAGACTGGTATGCAGTTCCCTGTTACTGAAAAGTTGTTAAGTGCACATTCTCCCAGGTGCCCTAAAGCACAGGGAAAGAAGGTCATAGACAGATACCAGAGTGCTGTAGTATGTAAATGGCAAGGATGGCCAATCATTACCAGCACAGTCAAGCTAGCCTTAAGAGCTATAGAAAAACTTATTAATTTTGTTGTTCAAGTCTAGCAGGGCTTTATTAACCTTCTGTCTGCTTGATCTGTCAATTATTGAGAGAGGTCTAATAAGATCTTCCACTGTAATTTAGAATTTGTTCATTTCTCTTTTCACATTAATTGATTTTGGCTTTATACATTTTGAGAATATGTGTTCAGGTATAAATAATTTCAAAGTTTCTTCTCTAAGTTGGATTTTTCCCTTTTTGAATTAAGTAATACTTTATTTACCACAAAGTCTACTTGTTTTAATATTAATATATCTATGCCAACTATTTTATGATTAGTAAATACCTGGTATAGGTTTTTTGATATTTTACCAGGAAATTTTATAAACAGTATAAAGCTACATTTTAGTTTTCATTGTGAAAATATCACCTTTTATAGTTTAGTCTGTTCATATTTATTGTGATTAATGATATATTTGTGTTTATTTTAACATCTCATTTTTTGCCACACTTTATCCCATTTTATTTTGTTCTTTTCTATTCTTGAATTCTATTGAATTCATCAAGTTTTGTTTATTTTCATTTATGCCTCTACTGGTTTAGAAATTATACATTCTATCCCTATACTTTTCATTGCCCCAAATATTCAACATCTAATACTTCACATAAAAATATCTTACAGTAATTCAACCCTGGTCCCTAAAATGTAAGAACTTTACTTGCCTATAATGGCAAACCCTTCCTTATAAAGTTGCTATCTAGTAATTGAGCTCACTTTGTTTTGGTAACACCCGAATTATTTATTCTTATCATTATTTCTACAGTCAAATCCTCATGGGAGTTACCCACATTTACTGATTATTTTAGTAACCATTGTTCTTGGATCCCAATTCTCTCTTCTGAATTCAATTTCCTTCACCAATAAGAGGCCTTCTACTTGTTCTTTTACCAAAATCTCTGAGTTTTAAATGGTCTCAAGTTCATTGTTAAATTACAAATGTTATTATTTCATCTTTACTCATGAGTGATAGTTCACTAGGACATAAAATTCTAGACTGGTAGTTAATTTTCATCAGCACTATAATGCTATTGTCTTTTGGCTTCTAATGTTACTGTTGGTAATTCTGCCTTCAGTATAACTTTTGTTCCTTTAAAAATAATCTGCTTTTTTCTCTCATTGCTTTTTGGAATTTCTCTTATCTTTGCCATTCTATGGTTTCACTATGACCTATCTATCTACGTGTAAATTTAGGTATTCTTCTATTGTCTTCTGGAATTGTAGACATTTTATTTCTGCTTTTCCTTATTCTTATTTGCTCCTAGTAAGATAAGAAATTTATCTGTCTTAGGTGGTCACTTGTAGAGGACCTCATTCCATATTTACTTTACAGCAATCTCTTAGTTCTAACTATGGAGGTAACTCAATATGCAGCCCTTGGGCCCATTTCCTGTATCAAACAAGCATCTACCTATTAAATGTAGATAGGGTACTTGTTTGTTTGTTTGGTTTTTCACGCCCTGGCAGTTTTGTAATGATCTAAAGAAAAATTTACATCTTAAAAATATATATATAACATATATATGTATACATATACAAACAGGATATATATATATCTTTGTGTTAACAGGTTGAGTATTCCTTATCTGAAATGCCTGGGGCCAGAAGTATTTTAGATTTCAGAATTTTTCAGATTTCGGAATACACGCATATGCATAATGAGATAACTTAGGGATAGGACCCAAGTCTAAACAGGAAATTCATTTACGTTTCATATACACATTATATACATAGCCTGAAGGTAATTTTACATGACATTTTAAGTAACTTTGTTCATGAAACAAGTTTTGACTGCCTTTTGACTGTGACCTAATATGAGATCAAATGTGAAATTTTCCACCTGTGGCACCATGTTGGTGATCAAAACGTTTCTGATTTTGAGCATTTGGGGTTTTGGAACATTCAAATTTTGGATTTCCACGTTGGTTTTACTCAACCTATAATCAATAATGTGAACCCTGAAAATCTGAGACAGGTCTCAGTTAATTTAGAAAGTTTATTTTGCCAAGGTTGAGGATGCACACCCGTGATGTGACACAGTCTCAAGAGGTCCTGACAACATGTGCTCAAGGTGGTCGGGGCACAACTTGGTTTTATACATTTTAGAGAGACATGAGACATCAATCAATATGTGTAAGATGTGCATTGGTTCAGTCCGAAAAGGTGGGCAAAGGTGGGACAACTCGAAGAGGGGAGGGGGCTTCTAGGTTATAGGTAGATAAGAGACAAATGGTTGTATTTTTCTGGGTTTCTGATTAGCCTCTCCAAAGGAGGCAATTAGATATGCATTTATCTCAGTGAGCAGAGGGGTTACTTTGAATAGAATGAGAGGCAGGTTTGCCCTAAGCAGTTCCCAGCTTGACTTTTCCCTTTAGCATAGTGATTTTGGGACCTCAAGATTTAGTTTCCTTTCACAATAAACTCTTGTCCCACCAATAATATTACAGCCAAAAATATAACCCCAACCACTTAGGCAAGTGAACGGACCCCCTCTGGGCCAAGGGAAACCTGAAACATTGAATTACCAGCCATGATGGAAAGGGAGGTTGGACATGCTTTGTTATACCCTCTCCCTTTTGGAGTTTAGACACAATTGACCATCATTAAGATTAAATAGATATCATAAGACTGATGAAACAGACTCTTTTTGTCAATAAGATACCATATTCCAAACTGACTCTGGTATAGCATCACATGGCAAATAACAAACCCTGAATGAAATAAAATCATTTTACCCCCAAATACATGTCTTTGACATATTTTGAAATGGCCCTGCAAATCTTCTGTCTTTTGTGGGAGTAATTTTGTATCTGTAGAGAATCTTCATTAATGCATCTAAGGCCTTTCCTGATCCAGGAGAGATTAACTAAGCATCTGATACCTTCTAAGGTCTGAAAAAAAGACATTTAGCATCTATTGTCTCTGATGCTTGCTATCCGGAGGCTTCATCTACATAACAAGAACCTTGGCTTCCACAACTCCATTTATCTTAACTCAAGCATTTCTTTCCAAGCAGATTTCCAGGACTGCAAGTCTTCAGCTTAACTCTTTAACCCAATTGCCAATGAGAATACCTTTGAATCCTTCTATAACTGTAATAAGCCCTCCCTGTCCTCACATTGAGATGTTTGACTTTTCTAGGCCAAACCAATGTATACATTACATGTATGTATTGCCTTATGTCTTTCCCTGTAACTTGTCTCCCTAAAATGTATAAAACCAAACTGTAACTCGACCATCTCAGGCACTTTCTCAAGACCTCCTGAGATTGTTCTCCTGTCTATGGTCACTCATATTGGCTCAGAATAAACCTCTTTAAATATTTCACAGAGTTTGGCTTTTTCATCAACAAAATGCACCACAACTCACGTAGACTCTTCCCATCTCTGCCACCACTACTACCAGATCTCATGTGAGATTCTATACATTATTGATAGAGTGATGTTCCTCCAGATAATCCCCTACAGTTGTGGTCATTTTTGGGAATTCCTCATAGGATACATGTAAATGGCTAGCTGCTGTTGAATTTTCGGATTTCTGTAGGCCTTCATGGGTCATTTAATGAAAAATTAGGAGGGGACCTTTCAAGGAGTTCTAGCTTGATAGCATTTTAAATAGTAAGTTTTCTATTATTTTCTAAGAAGACAAAATTACCCAAAGAGAACAACTGATGTAAGATTTCACTTTCTAATTAACCCCTCCACATGGAAAGAAGCAAGGGATTGCTGACAGCAAATTAACTTTGTATTTTGCATTTTCATTTCTGAATACCATAAACTTTCTCTAATTGTCCTGTATTAAATATAAATTCTGTTTTGAACAGAGTTTATTTTTAATTTTTGCAGACTGATTTACTAAGTGTGCAAATTAGTATGAATGTGCTGCTAGCAAGCCAATAAACAGCATGTTTTCTAGGACTTAAAATAATGGAAAAGACTACTGAAATTTCTGATTAAATGCCTCCCTAAATATATAATTGTAGAGCATGTGTTTACCACTGAAGACCTAACAGAAAGAACAAGAAACTTTTTAAAAGTTCACTTTTTTTTTACTTACCAGCTCTGTCTATAAATATAAAGCAATGAAAGGCAAAGTGAGTCATTTATCAAATTGAAAATAAATTAAAACTATAAGGACAAAGAATATATGCAGTCTTGGATATTACAATTATGTTGAATTGGTTATGTTACATTATTTGACTTAAAGTGTATTTTTTTAAATAACATAGAACACAATCAAATCTCATTGTAGTTTGGTGCATGCAGAGTAGGAGGAAAGAATTTGGATTGCGCAGAAAACCAGAATGTTAGTAGGACATATATTTGTAACTAAACAAAGTACACAGGGCATATATTTGCAACTAAACAAAGTACAGACTCTGACTATGAGAAGATAGGTATGGGAGGGCAGCAGGAGAAAGGCATATCCATCAAGTAACAGTTATCACTGGGGTTATCTAAAGTAAGAAGCAAGCTTAAAATAAGGGGAGTCGCATAGAGAAAAGAAGAAATGGGTAAGGCTGGTATAAAAGACGCCAATTCCACAGTTAAAGACCCAGGATCCCAAGTTGAGGGAAAGATTCCTATTTGAGGGGCCTAGGGCTATCCAGAACAATGATGGATGGCAGGAAGAGTGTACCAGTACCCAGGGAGGGAGCTGGCAGAAACAAACTAGGCTGTTAAGAAATAAAGTAGAAATCTATGCCTGAGTGCTGGGACAGACATGACAGAAATAAATGTATCACAAAGAAGGATCATGCTGAAACCACCTTTGCAAAAATTAATACTGAGAAAATAATGACAGTGAAAGAAATCTTATCCAATGGAGTCCATCTTTCTTCTAACCTCCAAGCCATTGTTGTTTATTCCTGGGTATGAGCCAAAATAACTTTGGGAGGAACTCTGTTTATAGTTTAACTTTGAAACAAAGATGGTAACAGCTGTTTCCCAAAACAAATCCCCTTCCTACCTGGGGACAAGACTGCCTTTACGGAACTAATACATTAGACAAAAGATTAGAAATTATGGCTTAGGAGTCTGAACCTCCCCAAATTGCTCCTGGAGATAACATCACTATTGTAAAGCCCAAGATCAGTGCTTGAGATATTTTGTAGACCCTGTATCCTGGATGGATCAGCTGCCAGGAGCCAGATGATAAACTGGCTCATCTGGTCTTGTGGCCTCCACCCAGGAACTGACTCAGTTCAAGAGGATGGCTTTTACCCTCTGTGATTTCATCTCCAACCTGACCAATAAGCAATCCCCACTTCTCCAGCCCCTACCTGAAAAATTATCCTTAAAAACTCTGATCCTTGAATTCTTGGGGAGACTAATTTAAGTAATAATAAAACTCGAGTCTCCCATACAGCCAGCTCTGCATAAATTAAACTCTATTACAATTCCCCTGTTTTGATAAATTGGCTCTGTCTAGGCAGCAGGCAAGGAGAACCCATTGGGTGGTTACAATGTAAATGAGGAGCCAGGGCTAACAGATCCAGCATCAGACTGGTACTCATTAGACTGCAAGTAGGACATGGGAGACTGGTGGTCAGCACAGATGGGCCTCTGGAACCCACTCCTGAGATAGAAATTGGCTCAGGACCTGGGATGGAACATGTCAACAGGGATGGTAGGGGGAAGAGAAAGAAATCAGAAATTTAGTACATTTAATGCTACTGACAATGTAACTAGTAGACTTCTTTAAAATAACAATACTACAACTGAGGTATTGCTTCTCACAAGAGGGCATTAGCTGCGGGGCTCTGCCCGCAGACCCTGACCCAAATGACGGATGAATAAAACGTACACTGACACACAGATATTCTATTTTGCCAGTCCTGCTGAGTGTCTGACCGCCTGCCCACCAAGAGAGGTTTGTCACTGCGGCCAGCCCTGAGCAGCTTGCACTCCAGGCATTTATTTCATATACAATTAACAACAGAAGCTCTGAGTCAACACACTTGTGGGTAATTAACATGGTTAAGAGAGTAGTTCTCAGAATGATTAAAACTCAGGTACCATGGTCTGAAATAAATACCATTAGGGGGCAACATCCCTAGTTGACCTCCCCCGGAGAGGGCCATCTGGCTCAAAGGTTAGTTAATGGAGGTAGGGTAAACAGACTTAACTGGGGAAGCCTCTATTGTCCCTAGTATTTACCCTATGACCTAATGCTCTAAGGTAAGCACCAGCTGCCTTCAGCCTGTTCAATTATTACAAGCTATGTAACCTTTCGGCCTTCCAAAAGGTTTGTGACTATTCCCTATAACTTTCCCTAATATTTCTGCCACCATTCTGATTGAATCCCAACAGACAACATTTCTGTATGTGATACATTTTATGTGCCTCCTCCAATTTTTTTATGTGCTTACTCCAATTCCTTCGCTGCCACCACCTCCATCAACCTCAGCCACTTGTCTTTTTTTCCAGGTTCCTCTGCTTGGGGGTGACCTATATCTTGCATCAGAAGCAATAGAGCCAACCCCTTCACTGCTCCTTTACAACCAAGCAGACCTGCCCCCATGCTCAGTTTCAGGCTCCTTTTGCCTTGGTAGAGCATGGAATTTGACATCTTAGCTAGAGAATGCCACCTTAAATGCTAGGGCCATGGAGTAAAGTTTAGCAAACAGGAACAGGAGACAAGGAAGTAAATATGCAGATAAAATTCCTTTTCTTTTCTCTCTCACATTGATGGCTCAAGGGTACTTTGCAGAGACACCTGCTGAGCAATCTGATGCATATACAGTCATGCACTATCTGGTCAACCACTGAGTGCCTATATGATGGTGGTCCCATAAGATTATAATGGAGATGAAGAATTCCTACTGCCTAGTGACGTCATAATGTCCTGCTGCAGTGCATATTATGTGGTGATGCTGGTGTAAACAAACCTACTGAGCTGCCAAGTGGTATAAAAGCCTAGCACATACAATTATGTACAGTTCATAAAACTTTATGGTAATAAATTACCAGAATTTATTTGCCATGGCAAATAATTACCAGCCTGTGTTGTTGATTTATGTATTTATTATACTATACTTTTTCTTGTTATTTTAGGGTGTCCTGCTAAAAATTAACTGTAAAATAGTCTCAGGCAGTTACTTCAGGAGGTATTCCAAAATAAAATATTGTTATTATAGTTATTATAGGAGATGACAGCTCCATGCATGCTATTGTTCCTAAAGAACTTCCAGTGTGGGACAAGATGTGGAGGTGGAAGATAGTGATATTGATGATCCCGACTCTGTGTAGGCCTAGGGTAATGTGTGTGCTTGTGTCTTAGTTTTTAACAAAGAAGTTTAAGAAGTAAAATAAATAAATAAATAAACTTTAAAGTAAAAAAATTTATAGAATAAGGATATAAAGAAAGAAAATATTTTTGTACAGCTACATATGTTTTAGCTAAGTTTTATTACAAGAGTCAACAAGTTTAAAAATACTAAGAAGTTTATAAAGCAAAAAAGTTATAGTAAGCCAAGATTAATTTATTATATAAAATTAAAAAAATAAATTTAGTGTAGCCTAAGTATCAGTGTTTATAAAGTCTACAGGAATGTACAGTAATCTTCTAGGACTTCACATTCACTCACCACTCATTCACTGACTCTCCTAGAGCAATTTCCAGTCCTATAGGTTCCATACATGGTAAGTATCCTGTACAGGTATATCTTTTTTAAAATATTTTATACCCCATTTGTACTGTACCTTTTCTAGGTTTAGATATGTTTAGCTACACAAATACTTAGCAGTGTGTTACAATTGCTTACAGTATTTGGTACAGTAACTTGGTGTGCAGGTTTGTAGCCTCAGAGCAACAGGTTGTACCATATAGCCTAGGTGATTAGTAGGCTATACCATCTAGGTTGGTGTAAGTACACTGTGATGTTCGTACAAAGATGAAACCACCTAACAAGGCATTTCTCAGAATGTATCCCCTTTGTTAAGCCATGCATGATTGTATTCACAGAGGTAAGTTGTGGATACTGAGGCAACGGCTCATGTATCATGCATTGCTTTACCTCCCATCCTTCCCTTCCTTGTTTCTATTTTTATTTTTCCACTCTCAGTGCCCTGAATTCGCATCTCCCAAATAAAGTATTCGTATTTAATTATTGCTTAAGGTTTTATTTTCTAGGGGACTCAAACTAAGACAATTACTAGAGTAAGAATAAACAGCATTGTGATTTCACATTTTGTGCAGCATAACATAATGGAAACAGAATAGAGGAAGACTTAGCAGGCTTACTCAGTGTACTTACTCTAATTACTTAGTAGACTTGAATGCTTACTCAGGAGACTTGATGTGATCTCCTACATGGTCTGTGAAGACACTTAAATTTCCTGGGCCTAACATTCTCCCTTTTACAAATGGAGATGTTGGACCATGGTGGCATTATGCTGTGCAAGTGGTGGTTCCCCAATTTATTCTAATACATGGATTAACTACACAAGTGATCTGGGCAGGGATAATTTTGATAATATAGGTTTCTAGACTCCTTCCAAACTGAGGATAATTCAGTAGGCCTAGAGTTGGGCCTGGAATATGTATTTTGTTGCAGGTACCCAGGTACCACTGATGTACATCCAGGGTTGGTGACCACTGGCAAACAACAACCAAAAGTGAGCTGGAGTGGCTATACTACAATTATAAATGAGCTTTAAGTCAAAAAATGTTAAAAGAGCCAAAGAACATCATTATAGAATGATGAAAGTTCCATTATTTAAGAAGATACAGCAATTAGAAACATATATAACCATAAAATGTAATCCTCAAATATATAAAACACATTGACAGAATTAAAGAGAGAAATAGGCTTTTTAATAATAATATATAATAATAATAGTTGGAGGTTACCATACCTCACTTTCGATGCAGTGGCATGATCCTGGCTCATTGCAACCTCTGCCTCCCAGGTTCAAGAAATTCTCGTGTTTCAGCCTCCGGAGTAGCCAGGATCACAGGCTTGTGCCACCACGCCCAGCTAATTTTTATGTTTTCAGTAGAGATGGGGTTTCGCCATGTTGGCCAGGCTGGTCTCGAACTCCTGGTCTCAAGCAATCTACCCACCTTGGCCTCCCGAAGTGCTGAGATTACAAGCATGATGATCCACTGCTCCTGGCTGCGTATAGTTTTTAAATTGGTGTCCTTGGAGAGGGGATGATCAATGGAGGCTTGTATTCTGCCATCTTGCTCTGCTTATCTCTGATACACTTTCAATATACAAAAATATTGTGTTTCTATATATTTGTAATGAATAATTTAGCATGAAATTAAGAAAGCAATTACTTTTAAGATATTATCAAAAAGAATAAAATAGGAATATATTTAACTAAAAAAAGTGTAAAACTTATACTCTGAGAAATATAAAACCCATTTTAAAAAAATAAAGAATTTCTAAAGACATAAAAAAAAATTCCAAATTTCTGATTCAAGACAATATTGTTAAGATAACAATCCTCCTCAAATTGATCTACAGAATCAATGCAATACTTATCAGAAGGCCCGTAGGCTTCTTCTTATAAATCAACGAGCAGATTCTAAAATCCATTTGTGGTTGGGAAGGGTCTGGAATAAGCAAAATAATCTTGTTAAAAAGAAAAATATTGAAGGACTCACACTTTCTGATTTCAAAACTTACTACAAAGCAATAGTAATTAGACCAGTTTGGGACTGGCATGAGGACAGACATGTAGACCAATGGGATAAAATAAAGAATACAGAAATAAACTATGTATCTATGGTCAATTGATTTTTTTATTTCAAAAATTGTTTTTACTTAGAAGCATTCAGAATGTCAACAAAACAGCTGAAACTGTTTCTTTTTTGCAATTAGAGAGATATTCAGTTAACAGAACAATTATTTTGTGTTAGATGCATCACAGACAATTGAAGAAGAAAAAACTACCATCCCTATATATAACTAATTTGTGCTGTGCACTAACGAGAATCTGATTTAAATTTCCACGCCAATTTACAACCCCCATATTCTACCAGGCAAGGTTAGTGGCTATTGTAAATACCACCAGAACAGGGCTTTCTAAAGACACATTCAGTAGTGTGTTAACTATACAAAAAAAAAGACACTGTACAGTTAAAAAACAAATCTTACACAGCCTTACATTTCAATTTTTTTTCTTTAAAAGAAGGGAGTTGTGTACAGGGGGATTAAATGCTTTATAGACAAGAAAAAAAGACTACACTAGAAGCAACTTATCCATCATCATCATCTTCATCTTCTTCCTCCCCTTGATCTTCATCTTCTTCATCTTCCTCCTCTTCTTTCTTTTTCTTACTGTTTTCAACCTTTACAACTCCCTTTTTTTTGCTGCATCAGGCTTTCCTTTAGCTTGATATGCAGCAATATCCTTTTTGTATTTTTCCTTCAGCTTCACAGCCTTCTTTTCATGAGGCTGCTTTTCATCTGCAGCAGTGTTATTCCACATTCCTCCCAGTTTCTTTACAATATCACTAGTGGACTGGACAGGATGTTCTCCTTTGGTTTTTGGGTGATACTCAGAACAGAACAGAAAAAAGGCCGAAGGAGGCATCTTAGGTGCATTGAGATCCTTGAACTTCTTTTTTGTCTCCCCTTTAAGTAGGGATATATTTTCATTTCTCTTTCATAACAGGCCTTGTCTGCCTTTGCCATGTCTTCAAATTTTCCTTTCTCTTTAACAGACATGGTCTTCCACCTCTCTGAGCAGTTCTTAGAAAACTCTGAGAAACTGACTGAAGCATCTAGTTGTTTCTTCTTGTGCTCCTCCTGAGCAGTTTGCACAAAAAATGCATATGATGACATTTTGCCTCTTGGCTGCTTAGGGTCTCTTTTGCCCATGTTTAGTTACTTTTCTTCAGTGAGGCACAGAATTGCCCAGTGCCCTTCTGGCTCTCACCTGCCCTGGCACTGTCTCTATGGAGATCAATGTACTGCAATGGCTGTGAGAGGGTCAACTGATTTTCAACAAAGGTGCCAAGATCATTCAGTGTGGAAAGAGTAGTGTTTTCAACAAATGCTGCTAAGACGACTTGGTAGCCACATGCAAAGGAATGAAGTTCTCACAGGATATACAGATATTAACATAAAATGGATAAAACACCTAAATGTGAGAACTAAAGCTATGAAAGTCTTACAAGAAAGATAAGGATAAATCTTCATGACCTCACATTTGGCAATGGATTCTTAGATATGATCAAAAGCAAGAGCAACAAGAACAACAAAAACAGTTAAACTGGACTTCATTGAAATAAAAAACTCCTGTGCTTCAAAGGATACTATCAAGAGAGTAAAAAGACAACTTACAGAATGGGAGAAAATACTTGCAAATCATATGTCTATCTGATAAGATATTGTATCTGAGATATAGAAAGAACACTTGCAACTCAATGATAAAAAGACAACTAAATTTTTAAAGTGGGTAAAAAATCCGAATAGACATTTATACAAATAAGGTATACAAATGGCAAATAAGCACATGGAAAGGTGCTCAACATCATTATTCATCAGGAAAATGCCAATGAAAACCTCAGTGAGACACTACTTCTGCTCACTAGGATGGCTAGAATCAAGAAGTCAGACAATAACAAGTGTTGCCTATGATGTGGAATAATTAGAATCCTCATACACTGTTGGTGGGAATGTAAGATGGTGCAGCCACTTTGGAAAAAATTTTGGCAGTTTCTCAAATGGTTAAACATAGAGTTACCCATATGATTCAACCCTTCTACTCACAGATGTATACCCAAGATAAATAGAAACATATGTCTGCATAAAACCTTGTACACAAATGTTGATAGCAGCATTATTCATGGTAGCTAAAAGGTAGAAACAACCCAAATGTCCATTAACTGATGAATGGATAAACAAAGTAGGGCATAGTCACAAAATGGAATATTATTTGATCATTACTAGAAATGGCATACTGCTACGTGAAGAAGCCAGTCAGAAAATGTAACATACGATTCATTTTACATGAGATCTCCAAAATAGGCACTTCTATAGAGATAGACATTAGATTAGTGACTGCTTAAGGCTGATGGGATGGTGGAGGATGGAGGGGCATGGTACCTAAAGAGTACTGGGTTTTTTTTGAGACCATAAAAGTGTTCTAAAATTGACTGTGTTAATGACTACACATATTTATAAATATACTGAAAACTATTGAATTATACACTTTAAATTTGTGAATTGTATGGTATGTGAAAGATATCTCAACAAACCTTAAAATCAAAATACATAAATAGAGGATTAGAGATCTGAGTGTGAGCACAGGTGAATATCCTTTTATTTTTTACTTGATGTAAATTCAAATGACAAGTATCCTTTATGGTTATTTTTGCAACTCTTCTAGGAAGATAGACTATAATAAAATTTATTATATTTATAATTAAATTTACATTTAAAGACCAAAAACAGAGTTGTCATTTCCTTGCTCTTGCCAATTTGGGTTTGCTAAAAAATTTATGTTTTGATCTTATAAGATTTAAATGTAGTATATGGGTTACTGATTTTCTTCCAGAATCTAATCACATTCTTATATGGACTATAATTGGACAGGATGCTTTACAATTGTGGCAATCCTCTCTGAAAGATACATATAAATTATATTTCTAAGTGAGTTAAAGAAATTCAATTTTAAATTTGTTTTGCAAATTTGAAGAGTTTTTGCCAAAAACTAATGTGACGAATATAATAACACAAGCTTAACCCTTGTTATTTTGAGAAAAATTAACCGACTCATACTTTTAATATTAGGTAAGTTTTGGCAATGCTAACAATAAAGTATAATAGATTTGTTCCAATTAAAGTCAGCTTACATCATTAAAACTAGCATTTAATTTGATATTCTGTTAAACAAAATTTATTTTTTATCCTGTTTGAAATGTATTTGTGGTTATTCCATATGATACAGAGATGTAGAGTTTATTTACAAAGTATGTTTCATAAGTTTTTGGTTTTTTTGTTTGTTTGTTTTTATTTTGGGGGAGATAGAGTTTCTCTCTTGTCGCCCAGGCTGAAGTGCAATGGTGTGATCTCGGCTCACTGCAAACTCCGCCTCCCAGGTTCTAGCAATTCTCCTGCCTCAGCCTCCCAAGTTGCTGGGATTACAGGCACCCGCCACCATGCCAGGCTAATTTTTGTATTTTTAGTAGAGACGGGGTTTCACCATGTTGGCCACACTGGTCTCAAACTCCTGACTTCAGGTAATCCACCCATCTCGGCCTCCCAAAGTGCTGGGATTACAGGCATGAGCCACCGCACCTCACCTATTTTATGTTTTAAGGATTAGTTTAGTTTCATTTTTTCACAATTTTTCAATTATATTTTGAGGCTGAAGAGTAATTTAGCTATTAATGTATTTAATCTTCGTAAAATGAGAACTGCAGTTGACCATTGAACAACACGTATTTGAACTGTATGGGTGCACTTACATGCAGATTTTTTTTCAACCAAATGTAGACAGAAAATACAGTGTCTGTGGGCCGTGAACCCGTGTATACCCAGGGCTGAGTTTTCTTATCAGTGAGTTCCCCGAGATCCATTGTGGGACTTGAGTATGAGTGGATTTGAGTATACACGGGTGGTTCTGGAACAAATCCCCTGTGCATACTGAGGGATGACTGTACATATAGTATTAGTTATTGATAATAAATATTTTCTACATATTTACAATTACGTTACACATTAAAAAGTTGTCATGGATGATTTACTGGTATTTCAGCCACCAATTTAACTGCTAATTATTAGTGAATATTTTAAAATTAGGGAAATTGGAATTAGGTGGGAGAAGGGACAGAAGGATAACAGTGCTCCTACAATATGCTCTTCTAACATGTCTGTCACATTAGAAGATCAATATTTAGATCAATATTTTGAATTAATCTAATTTCTTCTTCTTCTCCCAAGAGAGAAGGAGCAGAAGAAATTAGAGCGATACAAAATACTAGAAACTGAAGTCATTAACACTTAGGAATGAGGGTTTTTTGCTCCATATTAATTGATCAGCAAAACCAGCCCGGAGCATTTTGTTTGAGTGCTTTGGCAAATATTGCTCATATAGGACTCTGTATATTGGGGAAGTGATTTGGATAATTGCTAGTGGAAACATAGCAGGTCTCCTGCTTAGCTATGCTAGCAATTTAAGGCCAATAAAGCTCTGCCTGTCCATAAATTTCAACATCCCAGGAACCACAGGTAGAAGGGATTGTAAGTCAATATCTACACCCAGGTTCAATTCTGAGTTTTGTGAGGCATGAGGTTGTCACAATTTGCGGGAGGGGCCTTCCAAAAGAGCAATAATGTAAAATTAGAAATATAAAAGTAGGTACAGGGACTAGGAAAGGGGGTCAAAAAAGTAAAAAATCATAAAGCTTCTGCTCCTTTGGTATCACAGTAAATCCGTCCCTAAAATCACTAAATGTTTCAGTAAAGACTGATTGACAACATTAATGTGAGAGGAAAGAAAGCCACTTTTTTAATACCTTAAAACTAGCTTCTTTTGATGAGTTTAGAACTTCAAGTGATCATAAATATGGTCCTACTTCTACCTGTCTTCTGCAGTTAGGGGAACACTGGGCTATCCCTGGTTCTCCAGATAAATTCTTGTCATTTGTTTCTTTCTCCATGACACCAAAAGAAAAAAAAAAAGTTTTGTTTCAATATTGCCATATTTATTATCAGAAATTTGCTTGTTTATTCTCCTAAAATCAGTTTATACCATAAAAATATGTTTTCTAAACACATAACTCTAATCTTCTAAGGCACAAATTCTAATAGAATTGCATTTATTAAAGTTACAATGCTTGCATCCCATTCCTTTTCATTATTCAAGTCCACCTCTGAACAGCAGAATGCACAGAGTTTAGGGCATGCCTTTTATTTCATTTGTTACTATCCTGAGTTATAATATCCTATTTTTGAAAGTTTACTAATATCTTTCTTCTTAAACTTACTTCATTTAAGTGCCTGTTTAAGGCAGTGAAAACAGAAACATAGGATGAAAAGATCCCTTTATAATCTCAGCTGCACAGAAAATCGAGTTAGACATAAACCATGATAGCCCAACTACATTTAAAACGTTTTATTAATGATAATTCAAAATTGTTTGCCATTTTATTTTTTCATATTTTGACAGTAATCATCTTACCAAAATGGATAATTAATAATTGATATGAAAGAAAAAATCAGCCTTAGAAAAATATCTGAACAGATTTTTAAATGTAGATAACTTAAAAACTATTTAAATATGACACAGTCTTCATGAGTGTTTAATAAGGCTATACTTCAAGTTTTAAGTCAATTCTATGCTGTGTATCCTTGGTTATACATTTTCTCAAAGTGAAATGCTTTAACATTTGAATTATCCTATATAGTCACCTGAATTAATTCTTAATTTTATTTATAAACACATTCTATATGTGTCTATATATAACACTTATCTCATTGTATTATAAGAGCTACTTATCTGTGAGTCCACCAAAGGAAAGAATAAGGCAATTTTTATCTTTTTGCCTAGGGGAATTGATGCTCAACATTGTCGATGAACGAATGGCTGAATAAATACATTCACAATCCTCTCTGTGTTTCAAAGTAGATGCAGCTTTATCCAGTTATCTCAAAAGGGATTAAAAAGTTACTAAAACAAGTTATCCATTTAAAATTCTAATAGCACATTGAAAAGCTGAGTTAATAAAGATTTTAATAAGATAAAGACTTATGATGAAGGGTCTCAAACTGATTGCTGGTAAGCCAAATATCCCTCCGTAGTTGTTTGGCTGGCTCAGGTTATTTTTATTTTTACTTTTTGAATGTGAATGTTTAGACAGGGCATCTACTCTCTAGTTCACCATAGGATCTATCATCCCTATTACCTTAGACCAGACCTAACTCTTAATTCCTTGTTATTTGCATGGCCACTTAGCATTTGAGTCTGGGATCTCAGTTCTCCTAGGGAGGGAAAGTAAACAGACTATCTTGTAATTTATAAGTTGTAATCACCCTTTCAGGCTTACAAATATTTTGTAGCCAACACAAATCCATACTAGAATGACAAATGAAGATTTAACAAAACCAAATTTAGCAAAAGCATAAGTGAGAATCCATGATACTGGAATTGTGGAACATTCTAGGAATAGCCTTAGTGAATAAATTACATTCCTACTATTATCCAGTTGTTTGAAAAGAACTGAAATGAAAAAGAAAGGTAATTTTGAATAGTTAAAAATATTTAGTCACTTGTTTATGTCTTATCACTTGTATTTAGTAATGCTAGTATATCAATATTCATATTAAATTTGGATTAAACCTTATTGATAATGGCAACAGAATAAAGGGGCACCAGGAGATCAAAAATAAGTACAGTATTCAATAAAAATCCTGCTCCAGATCAAAGATAAGTTACTCACCAATAACACATTCTTCTCCTCTGATAACCTCTAGCCATCAACATTTTTCCTTTCTTTTAGAGCCAGCCTAAGCCTCAACTTCAGCACAACTTCCATAACCAAGTTCACTCTCAAAGCAAGAGCTCACCTTCCTCAAAGTGCACTTATTATCTTTATCAGATTACCACTCTTTAACAAATTTGTAAGCCTGCAAGTTTCAGTACCAGTAATTTAGCACCCAAATTCAGTACATAATTTTGATTACTGTGATGTAATATGTTGATTATATGTAATGCAAAGCATCATTCAATAATTGGTATTTACTTCACTGAAACCCTTCAATTATATTATGAACACTTTGTCAGTAAAAGTGTAATCTCTTTTTGCCTCAACTGTGAAGTGAATACATCATCATTCCCGGAACACTTAGATTTTTAGGCCGCACATCACTGATTACCTTTTGCTTTTGAAAGTTTAATTACTTGAGGTTCTGGAATCCAAGGAATGGAGATTTTCTCAGGGATATAAAAATACTTTGGAAGGCTCACTTCTGTTGTGTATGAAACGGTCTTAGGCTTCCTCAACTTTGAGATACGAAAGAGCATAAGAGTCTGTGAACAAACAGTAAAATTAGAATGTAATTTTCTTAACTTTCACCTCCAAAACACAAAAGACAGCATTATGTATTTAGACTATACCTTTGGGGAAAAAAATCCATCAAGGATTGAATTTGATTATTTCATTATTTTTATTTAATTGGTGGAAAACAGTACAAACACATTTCAGAAAACCAGTGGAGTCCTCTTTTATTGAGAGATGACCAATGTCCCCCGTGCTAATGCTTTCAGTGTTGAGAAATGCCTTGCCTTAAGAGGAAACTATTCCACCGCTGACCAGCATTTGAGAAAGTGCTTTTCTCCTTTAGTTGAAACCTGTACTCCTTCATATCTACCCATCAGATATATCAGATACATTCTTTTGTTTTTATTATTATACTTTAAGTTTTAGGATACATGTGCACAACATGCAGGTTTGTTACATATGTATACATGTGCCATGTAGGTGTGCTGCACCCATTAACTCGTCATTTAGCATTAGGTATATCTCCTAATGCTATCCCTCCCCCTCCCCCAACCCCACAACAGTCCCTGGTGTGTGATGTTCCCCTTCCTGTGTCCATGTGTTCTCATTGTTCAATTCCCACCTATGAGTGAGAACATGCGGTGTTTGGTTTTTGTTCTTGCGATAGTTTGCTGAGAATGATGGTTTCCAAGCAATGGCAACAAAAGCCAAAATTGACAAATGGGATCTAATGAAACTAAAGAGCTTCTGCACAGCAAAAGAAACCACCGTCAGAGTGAACAGGCAACCTACAGAATGGGAGAAAATTTTTGCAACCTACTCATCTGACAAAGGGCTAATATCCAGAATCTACAATGAACTCAAACAAATTTACAAGAAAAAACAAACGACCCCATCAAAAAGTGGGCGAAGGATATGAACAGACACTTCTCAAAAGAAGACATTTACGCAGCCAAAAAACACATGAAAAAATGCTCATCATCAGATACATTCTTATTAGTAGCACAGACTGAGGCCTCCTATTTCACTAAAGACAATTTTGTGAATTTACAAAAATAACTGGGTCCCACCTCTCCACAGATGTTCAAAAACTCTCTTACCTAGGTTTGTTATTTTTAGTTCCTCAATGATTACAATGATAATGGGGGTTACAACAACTCACCTCCATGCATATGCTCCTCTAGACAAAATGTAGTTCAATACTATTCTTCGTAAAGTGGACACTTAATATAAGCCCAGGTCTCTAAGTGTAAGTGAAGCAAGTTAAAAGTGACTTTTGTTTCTTTAGGCATATTTTCAATTCAATTAAACAACGACAAGGCTCATATCATGCATAAGATGTCAAAGGATAGACCAAAACACGTGAGAAAAGTTCTTAAGATTCTAGGATTTCACAATCTGACAGGAGAAACAGTTAAACATAAAAGTAAATCCAATAAAAACATAATTTATTAAATGTAATAATAAACACATATGCTGCGTTCCAAGGAAAAAGCTAAAGGAAGAAGGAGAAAGAAACTATATATATGCATACACAATGAAAAGGCTAGTCATGGACAAAATAACACCTCTCTCAACCATTTATAATTTAAATAAAATGTTTTGACAAGAGGTAATAATGAAGAAAATGAATTGAAAAAGAAAATGGGAGGGCATTATGACAGGCTTAAATTTTGAAAGAGCCACTAATTGAAAAATTTTAATGTAATAGTGTACTGAAAGTTGAACATAAACCTTCTGAAATCTATTGTTCTATATCAGAAAGAAGTGGTTTGGTTTGAGCTAAAGAAAACCATCAACTTCTTAGAAGCACGGTGCAGTCAAGAAAGTATCAAAGCCTCAGGATTTAACATTTTTTGAGCCAACCAGAAATTCAAAATCCAGGTCATTTAAAAATATCATCACCAATTGTTAGAAATCTGGGATTAGGCTGTATTGATTCTAGCTTCTGACAAATAAAAAAATAAATAATTTCTACAATGCCAAGTACTTTGATATATATAAATGAAGATAAATCTTAAGAAAGAAAAATGTATATAAAAATGTGTGTAAGTTGCTAAAACAAAACCTCATTTATAGCTTTTTTTCTTTCTCTTTTTTTTTTTTTTGAGACGGAGTTTCACTCTTGTTGCCAGGGCTGGAGTGCAATGGTGTGATCTCAGCTCACTGCAACCTCCACCTCCCAGGTTCAAGCAATTCTCCTGTCTCGGCCTCCCAAGTAGCTGGGATTACAGGTGCACGCCTCCACACTAGGCTAAGTTTTTTGTATTTTTAGTGAACACCCGGTTTCATATTGGTCAGGCTGGTCTTGAACTCCTGACCTCAGGTAATCCACCTGCCTTGGCCTCCCAAAGTGCTGGGATTACAGGCGTGAGACACCACGCCTGGCCAGTAAGAGCACTTTAACAGACACCTGAAGTAACTGAGAGAGGTAGCCCACTAATGTGTAGGGAAAAGTAACAGAGAAAGTTCAAAGGCCATGGGGAAGACACCTGGCATGTTTGAAGCAAAGCAACCAGGCATGTGCTGAGGGAGTGGCCTTAGAGAATGGACTCCAGTAGAAAAGGTGAGATGAGGGAAGGAAGAGGAACTGATGGACTCCTACATGACGGGTCATGTAGATCATCCAAAGGATATGGGCTTTTAACAAACGTTAGCTGGAAAGCCAGTAGAAGAATATGCACACAGGAGCAACATGAGCAGGCTTGCGTTTACAACAATCGCTTTGGCTGCTCTGTGAGAATAGATTGTACCTAATTCCAATCATAAAAATAGATTGTACCTTATTCTAAGCTGTAATGATAGAGTCTATAGCAATAGTTAATAGCAATAGTAGTGTACTATTACTACAGGGTAGTAATAAGTACCTCAATATCATGCATAAAGAGTGCACTTATTATATATACGAGGTAAGCATTTTATGTATAATTATTTCAGTTTTTACAAATTACCAATATCTCCATATAAAAAAATATAAAAATTTAGGCTTGAGGAGGTTTAAATAACCAGCCTACAGTCACACAGCTAGACAGTGTTAGAGTCTGAATTCTCAGTCTGGCTATCTGACACCAGAGATGATTCTACCTGGCTACACAGCAAAATATCCTGGGCAACTTTTAGAACATATTCCTACCCACCCCCTCCTAGTGATTCATATTTAATTTTTCTTGAGTGGGGCCTGGGTATGGGCATTATTTTAAGTTCTCCAGGGCACTCTAATGTGCAAACAGAAGTGAAAACTACTGTGAATTAATGACTACACTGTAATGCCTTAAATTACATAGTAGAATGCTTTGTTTCAGATTCATTATTTAACGAGGTATAAAGGAAAAAATGACAACTGAGCTGTCCTTCGGTACTCATTACTTTTCCTTCTAAAAATGTTATTTAATGAAAATAATATTTTAAATAGTAACAGCTCTGTAACTCTGTGTATTTTTAAAGAGAGAGTAATTGAAGTGAATCATCTATTACTCCATTCCCACCTCGATCTTCGTCAGTCCCAGGAGGGCGATGGCCACACGGATACTACTGCTCTCTAGAGTGCCTGTGATCAACCTTCGCTCATACTCAATACTCGACATCTGTTGCTGTGCTGCAAAAGCCAAAGCCTTTTCCTTGGCTTCATTAGTCATTGGCAATTTAAGGTCCACATACAGGATTTGATAGGGTTTGCATTTCAAATACAGAACTGGGTATTTCTTATTAGGCCCTGGAGGAAGAAAAAAAATATTAATGAATACAATGAACATTTATGCCCTTGACATTGTCATCCAGGATGGACTTGGGAGGTTTGAAATATAAAATTGCAGTTATGGTCATTATGAAACAGAGTAAAAATAAATGCATAGCACATGTCTATTAGTTCTAATTCAGTAATTAAAGAGCAAGTTTTCAGGAATTAAAGATTATTGGTATTCTCTAAGAGATCTAGTCAAATGATTGGTCCATATAAACGTCATCAACATGCTCAAAAATTCAGTGACCATTGTGCTCCTATCAGTGATAGGTAGGGGGAGAGTAGACATAAATGTGGAAAAAAAAAAGACACCTGTCAAAAACTCCCAAGAACTGTCATTTGCTTTCACTGACAACATTTTAATGCTTAGTTCCTTAAGGAAAAATAATCAAGAACTGGGGGCCAGGGTAAAATTCCAGGTTATATAACATTATGTAGATTTTTTGAGAGTAAAATAATTTCCAGATTATTTGAGAAATGGAAAGTGTTGCCAAGTAAATATTTTGTATGCCAAATTCCAATATTTAGCTTAAGACTGGAAAAGGAAGACTTAAAAAATCACCATTGAAATTTTTTAATTGGTAAAATGGTGCTGCTCTATTTCATGGATACTGACATAATAAAGTTAAAAGAAGCCCTTTCGAAATCTAAACACACAGAAGAGAAGCTTGCTATGAGTATGCTTAGGTAACTATATGAGGAAAAGTCCATTCTTCAACATTATAAATGAAATAAAACACATGTGTACTCTACCTTCTTCTCGAGTAGTGCTGTAATAAACTGGACTTGAAGACGTATTCATTGGAAGGCAACTGGAAGGCAAGGGGGTCATACCTTTTCCTTCCGCAACATATATTAATTGTCCAATCTAAAACACAAGACATTATAGTATTAAATTTCAAAATCTCTCATAAAAATATAACTTTTTCTGCTACAAGGGAAATCTGCATACTGTAAGAACTACCATGCATTGTGCTTTTATAAGCAACACAGCCTATAAATGGGTAAACAAAGGTAAGGCACAAATATAGTTCAACCATAGTATGGGAGAAACTTTGCCTGCAACCAGAGCACAGGGATTGCTTAAGAAGGTCCCAGGATTGCATTGATAGCAGTTGATCTTCCCAAATATCCTCAGGCAAATGCTGTCTTAAAATGAACAAAATGAGGAAGCAAGAAATTTTTTTCCTTTAGTCTGTAACTTATTATTGGACAGGAGTGACATCAGTTTTGCCAGGCATCTGAGTCCCCAAAACTCTACATTTTAAAGTGCAGGCTTTCAAAATGAACATGGAAAAGTCTAAATTTTTTTTAGAAAAAATAATTAGACCAGAAGTAGAAAAGGCTTAAGAAAGAAAAGAATCTTTTATTTGATTAACAAAAGCCCTCTTTAATTATCCGTCCCAGAGAGGCATTAAAATGTGACAGCAGTTGAGTTTCACATCCCCTTGAGCTAAATAATTACTTCTTGAGGCCACTTGATATGTGGTCTCTACACTAACTGAAGCCAAGTAGCCATAAAATGCCATATGCTAGAAACCATAACTCATACTCTATAGTTCAAACAATGTATAGCCAATCATTAGCCAATATTATTTCTATAAATCAGGGAGGATTCCTGTCAAACAACTTTGTATCAGCCACCCTTGTCCCTTTTTGCCTTTAAAAATCTGTTTGTAACAAAGAATGAAGGGAGCACTACCCAAGGCGACCTGGAAGTAAGTCATTTGCAGCCATCCTGAACCTTGGCCCAAATAACCTCTCTATATTAATGTTGCCTCAATTTCTTTCTTTAGACCAACAGGCTAAAGAGATAAGGCAAAAACAAAAGCAGGAATAATGCAAGGGCAGCAACATGATATAGTGAAAGATCAGCAGAGGTGGACATTTCTGGTTTTAATTGGCACTGCCATTTCTTAGCTACTAGGCTTCAAGCAAGTTTACTAAACCTCTGAAATCCAGTTTCCTCCTCTGTAATATGGGATGATCAATACCTTAATTTTAGGAACCTAGAGTTTTAATAAAAAGGAAAAGGAGAGAGGGAGTCTCAAAAGACATATGCAATCACAATGGTTGAACCTTATTTAGATCCTGATTCAAAGAATCTTAAAACGAAGTGACAGAAAAAACATACAAATAAGTATAAGACAATTGGAGAAATCTGAAAACAGCTTGGATGTTTGGACGATATTAAGAAAAACTTTACCATATTTTTATAGCAAGGATATCTTTGGCAGTGTCAAAAAAACATTTTTGTTGTAGAAACACTTACTGAATTGCTTATGAATAAAATTCTGTGATCACTGGGATTTGCTTCATTATAATCATGAAACATCTAGATAAATGATGTAAACCAAAAATAAAATTCTAAGATCCCAACTAACTAAATGGATCCCTGCCCAGCCAAAGGCATTCCAAAGTTAACCTGAAAAACTAGTTCAAGCCATGACAGGAAGTGGGGGAGTCCAGACATGCCTCATTATACCTTCCTCCTGTTGGAATTCAGGCACAGCTTACCAGCATTAACATTACAACAGAGACCTTAAGACTGAAAAACAGACTCTAGCAGGAAGGTATCAACATGAAATAGCAGGCCCTGAAAGAAATCAAAGTATTTTATCTCAAAATAGATTTCCTTGACATTTTGAAATGGCCCTGCAAAGCTGTCACTTACGGGGATAACCTACATTCTGTAGAGAATCCCCTTTCCTTTTCCGGGTCTTTTTCCTGATCCAGGAGAGAATTAACTAAAGAGTTTGGCATCTTTTTAAGTCTGATAAGAATAATTTGCTATCTATTCCTTCTGAAGCCTGCTATCTGAAGACTTCATCTGTATAAGAAGAATCTTGGTCTCCACAACCCAGTATCTTAACCAACATTCTCCCTTCCATGTATTCCAGATCTTTAGATATACTCTTTCAACCAATTGCCAATCAGAAAATCATTAAATTCTATGACCTGGAAGTCTCCACTTTGTGTTATCCTGCTTTCTGGACAGAACCAATGTATATCTTACATGTATTGATTGATGTCTTATGCCTCCCTAAAATGTATAAGACCAAGCTGCATCCTGACTACCTAGGGCACATGTTCTCAGGATCTCCTGGGGCTGGGTCACAGGCCATGGTCATTCATATTAGGCTCAGAATAAATCTCCCCAAATATTTTAGAGTTTGACTCTTTTTGTCAACAATGATATAAAGGTAAATTGATCATGCAAAAAATACATATTCTAAAATATTACAAATCTAGATAACAAATGAAACAGAAATTAAAAATTAATCTATAAACAATATAAGAATGAAAAATTTCTCACTGTGAGGTCTATTATTTATAGCTTTGTTATCCCCCATTAGGATTTGTTTATAATTCATTTGGTGGTCTATTGCTGTATGATAATGTTCCCTAAAATTTTATTAATTAAGACCCACAGTTATCTATAGTTCATGCTGGAAAAAAGAATATGAAAAACTTTGAACGTTTTATATTATTTATCATTTAAGTCTATACACTCCTGGCAATAAATACTACATAATACACAATTTTCATATAGTATATTTTCTTAAGCAGCCACGTACTTTACAAGCAAAAATCCAAGCTAGCCATTTGAAATGTGATTTGTGTGTTTGTGTGTTTGTATGTGTTTCCACACAAATACAACTGAATGATCAACAATTAAAGATGTAAAATATTCAGTAATTCAAGTAGAGGAAAAATGCATCAGTTAAAGACTGAAGATCTTTAGATAAAACAACGAAATTAGATAACTAATTACCTAAAAATTCGTTGTTTTATCAAAAATAAAATGTGCATAAGCAATTAGACTCATTGAGTGTAGAGTTATTATAACTACCTGTTTCCTTTAATGTGTGCCCAAATAAAACCTGAACTAGGGCTTGTCTACCATGTGAAAATGAATACCAACCTATGGGAGTCAATTTAAAAGGAGTAAATGGCTATTTGCCAGAATATTTTCCTCAAATATAAATTATAACATCTTCTCAGCCATTGATTCATCAGTTAAAATATTATTAACTAGGACTCCACTCAATTTCCACTAAATTCTACATCTTACACACACAGTATATTACCATATCTCAAAAAATTATTTTGACTAACATGTTC